>NC_000023.11:86401935-86704966 GCF_000001405.40 Homo sapiens
ATATGATCATATCAATAGATGCACAAAAAGCTTTAGATAAAATCCAACATTACTTTGTGATGAAAACCCTCAACAGTCTAGGCATTGAAGGGGCATATCTAAAAATAAAAGTGCCGTCTATGACAAACCCACAGGCAGTATCATACTGAATAAGGAAAAGCTGTAAGTGTTCCCTTTGAGAACCAGAAAAAGACAAAGATGCCCACTCTCATTACTTCTATTCAACATAGTGGCGGAGGTTTTAACCAGAACAATCAGACAAGAGAAAGAAACAAAATCTATCCAAATAGGAAAAGAAGAAATCAAACTATCTCCCTTCACTTATGATATAATTTTATACATTGAAAACTCTAAAGAGTCTGCTAAAAGGCTCCTAGAACTGATAAACAACTTAAGTGTCAGGATACAAATTCAGTTTACTAAAATCAATAGGATTTCTATACATCAATAACTTCCAGGCTGAGAGTCAAATCAGGAACATGATCCCATTTTCAGTAGTCACAAAGAAAATGAAATACCTAGGAATACAGGTGACCAAGGAGGTGTAATATCTCTACAAGGAGAAATACAAGACATTGCTGAAATAAATGAGAAATGACACAAATAAATGAGAAATATTCCATACTCATGGAATGGAAGTATCAGTGTCATTAAAAGGGTCATAGTGCCCAAGGAAATGTACAGATTCCATGCCATTCCTATCAAGCTACCAACATCATTTTTCACACAATTAGAAAGATTTAGTCTACAATTCATATAGAACCAAATAAAAAGAGCCCAAATAGTCAAAGCAATCCTGAGCAAAAAGAACAAAACCAGAGACATCATACAACCTGACTTTAAACTGTTCTTTAAGGCTACAGTAACCAAAAAAAGCAATGTATTGTTACAAAAACAGCCATATTGACAAATGGTATGGAACAGAAAACTAAGAAATAAATCCACACACCTACAACCATCTGATCTTTTTAAGGCTGACAAAAATAAGCAAAGGGGAAAGGACTTCCTATCCAATAAATGACACTGGGATAACTGGCTAGCCATATGTAGAAGGATGAAACTAGAGGCCTAAATTTTACCATATACAAAAATTAACTGAAGATGGATCAAAGATTTAAATGTAATACCTCAAACTATTAAAAAATTCTAGAAGAAGTCCTAGGAAATACATTTCTTAACATTGGCCTTGGCAAAAAACTTTGACTAAGTCCTCAAAAGCCATTGCAACACAAACAAAAATTGAGAAATGGGACCTAATTAAACTAAAGAGCTTCTGCACAGCAAAAGAAATTTTCATCAGAGTAAACAGGCAAACTACAGAATGGGAGAAAGTATTCACAAACTATGCATCTGTCAAAGGTCTAATATACAGAATCTATCAGGATCTTAAGTCAACAGACAAAAACCAAAAAACTTCATTAAAAAATGGACAAAGGACATGAACAGACACTTCTCAAGAAGAGTCATAAAATTGGACAATGAAAATATGAAAAAATCACTAATCATCAGAGAAGTGCAAATCAAAACCACAATAAGATACCATTTCACATCAGTCAGAATGGCTATTACTAAAGTGTCAAAAACAAAAGAAAACAAAACAAAACAGAAATAGATGCTGGTCAGGCTGTGGAGAAGAGGGAACACTTATGCACTGTGGGAATGTAAATCAGTTCAGCCACTGGGAAAAATAGTTTGGAGATTTCTCAAAGAATTTAAATCAGATCTACCATTTGGCCCAGCAGTTCCATTACTGTGTATATACTCAAAAGAAAATAAATCATTCTGCCAGAAAGACACATGCACACACTTGTTCATAGTAATACTATTCACAATAGCAAAACCATGGTGTATTAGTCTGTTTTCACTCTGCTATAAGGAGATACCCAAGACTGGGTAATTTATAAAGGAAAGATGTTTAATTGACTCACACTTCTGTAGGGCTTGGGAGGACTCAGGAGACTTACATTCATGGTAGAAGGGGAAGGTGACACATCCTTCTTCACATGGTGGCAGCAAGGAGAAGTGCAGAGCAAAGTGGGGGCAAAGTTTTTTTTTTTTTAAAGCACCAGATCTCATGAAAACTCACTCACTATCATTAGAACAGCATGGAGTAACTACCCCCGTGATTCAATAACCTCCCACTGGGTCCCTTTCACAACACGTTGGGATTATGGGAACTACCATTCAAGATGAGATTTTTGTGGGGACACAACCAAACCATATCATCCCACCCCTGGCCCCTCCCAAATCTCATGTCCTCACAATTCAAAACACAATCATGCCCTTCCAACAGTCCCCCAGAGTCTTAACTCATTCCAGCATTAACTCAAAAGTCCAAGTCCAAAGTTTCATCTGAGACAAGGCAAGGCCCCTCCACCTATGAGCCTGTTTAATGAAAAGCAAGTTATTTACTTCCTAGATACAATGAGGGTACAGGCATTGGGTAAATAAACCCATTCCAAATGGGAGGAATTGGCCAAAACAAAGAGCCTACAGGCCCCATGCAAGTCCAAAATCCAATAGGGCAGTCATTTAACCTTAAAGTTCCAAAATTATCTCCCTGGACTCCACTCCATGTCTCACATCCAGGTTATGCTGATGCAAGAGGTGGGCTCCCATGGACTTTGGCAGCTGTGCCTCTGTGGCTTTGCAGGATACAACCCTGCTTCTGGCTGCTTTCACTGCTGGCATTGAGTGTCTATGGGTTTTCCAGGTGCACGATGCAAGCTGTTGTTGGATCTAACGTTCTGGGATCTGGAGAATGGTGTCCCTCTTCTCAAGCTCCACTAGTCAGTGCCCCTGTGGAAACTCTGTGTGGGGGCTCCAACCCCACATTTCCTTTCTGCACTGCCCTAGCAGAGGGTCTCCATGAGGGTTCCATCCCTGCGTAGACTTCTGCCTGGATATCCAGGCATTTCCTTACATCCTTGAAAATCTATTTGGAGGATTCCAGATCTCAGTTTTTGACTTCTGCACATCCATAGGCTCAACACCATGTGGAAGCCACCAAGGCTTGGGGCTTGCACCCTCTGAAGCAGCAGCCTGAGCTCTACGTTGTCCCCTTTTAGCCACAGCCATGGCTTGAGCAGTTGTGATGCAGGGTGCAAATTCCCAAGGCTGCACATGGCAGGGGTTCCCTGGACCTGGCCCAGGTGACCATTTTTCCCTCCTAGGTCTTGGGGTCTGTGATTGGAGGAGCTGCTATGAATGTCTCTGACATGCCCTGGAGATATTTTCCCCATTGTCTTGGTGATTAACATTTGCCTTCTGGCTACTTATGCAATGGGCTTGAATTTCTCCCCAGAAAATAGGTTTTTCTTGTCTAACACATCATCAGGCTGCAAATTTTCCAAACTTTTACACTCTGCTTCCTCTTGAATGCTTTGCTGCTTAGAAATGTCTTCCTGCATATACCCTAAATTATCTCTCTCAAGTTCAAAGTTCTACAGATCTTTGGGGCAGGAGTAAAATACGGCCAGTCTCTTTTCATAGGAAGAATGACCCTTACTCTAGTTCCCAACAAGCTTTTCATCTCCATCTGAGACCAACTCAGCCTGAACCTTATTGTGCATATCACTATCAGCATTTTGGTCAAAGCCATTCAACAAGTCTCTAGGACGTCCAAACTTTCCCACATCTTCCTGTTTTCTGAGCTCTCCAATTCTCTAGGAAGTTCCAAACTTTCCCACATTTCCCTGTCTTCTTCTGACCCCTCAAAACTGTTCCAACCTCTGCCTGTTACCCAGTTCCAAAATCACTTCCACATTTTTGGGTATCTTTACATTGGCACCCCACTACCTGCTACCAATTTACTGTTTTAGTTTGTCCTCACACTGCTATAAGTACATACTCAAGACTGGGTAATTTATAAAGTAAGGAGGTTTAATTGATTCACAGTTCCAGAGGTCTGGGGAGGCCTCAGGAAACATACAATCATGGTGGAAGGGGAAACAAACACGTCCTAATTCACATGGTGGTGGCGGCAAGGAGAAGTGAGGAGCAATGGGTGGGGAACCCCCTTATGAAACCATCAGATCTCATGATAACTCACTTACTATCATGAGAAGAGCATGGAGGAAACTGCCCAATGATTCAATTACCTCCCACTGGGCCCCTCCCATGACACATGGGGATTGTGGGAACTACAATTCAAGATGAGATTTGGTTTGGGACACGGCCAAATCATATCATATTGAATTAATCTACATGCCTATCAGTGGCAGACTTGATAAGAAAAAATAGTACATATGCACAGTGCAATACTATGTAGTCATGAAAAAGAATGAGATCATGTCCTTTGTAGTAACATGGATGGATCTGGAGGCCATTATCCTACACAAACTAAGAGAGGAACAGAAAACTAAATATCACATATTTTCACTTATAAATGGGAGCTAAATATTCAGTAGTCCTCGACATAAAGATGGCATCAATAGACAGTGGGGACTACTAGAGTGGGGAATTAGGGAGGTTGAAAAACTACCTCTTGAGTACTATGTCCACTACCTGGGTGATGTTATCTGTTCCCCAAGCCTCAGCATCACATCATGCATTATAGCCATTTAACAAAGCTGCACATATTCACCCTGAATCTAAAATGAAAGTTGAAATTAGAAAAGAGAAAGAAGTTTGTTAGAGGTGTTGCTAGTTAAACTGACATGGTTTTAGTTTATATTGACATGCTTAAGACAGAGACATAATTGGATGTTAGTTCAGAAATGCTAAGATATGTCCAGAACATATGGGAGAATGACTGATCCCTACAGCAAGCTTTGAACTGAGTGCTGGAAAAAATGTATTCCACAGTTTCACTTTCTAACAGCAGAAACAGAATATGCATGCTTATTTTCCAAGTTTCTGCTGAGAGTGCACCTCCTCATATATGTCTTCTGGTCCAGGATCTAAAGAATATTCTTAGATCTAAATTTAAAAATACATATTACAAGTTAATTATTTCAGTTTGCTTTAAATCCAAAGAAATTTAAAACCTAAAATGAAAATGGGAGGGAAAATGCATGCAAAGAAACTAATGAAGCAATCATGTAGGAATTAGTGTCAGACCAAATTATTTCATTTTATTTTTTGCTTTTCTGGGAAACTAAAGTAAAGCTGCATAAACACAGAGACTTGAACTAACATGATTTGGTCTGAAAAGTTTTAGTTAACATAAAAATGCAATAATCAAATAAAACAGTGAACTCATGAAGAATATTGAGAACCTATTATAATTTCAAGGAATAAAGCCTGGAAGTTTGGAAATCTAATTGAATGAACATGATAAACTTGGATTTATATCCCCACAACTGCCAGTTTCTCTGTGACCTTTTGCCAGTTATATAGTCTTGTTGAGCCTTCATTTTCTTATTTATAGAAAAGGATACTAATATTACCTACACTGTTACTTTTTTATGAGAAGATATAATACATGTAAATGACCTATCCCTCAATACTCAGTCAATAAAGCGTGGCTTTTCTTATCACTCAGAATCTTTAAATTTTAAACAACTCTCTGATTACAAGCCAGGCACGATTAGTACAGACAAAAGCTTTGAGGAGAGAGCGAGATCACTGTGGACCAGCATACTTTGTGACTCCATGAACAAAGAAATGGCATTTTGCTTTTATTGAATTTTGAACTGTATTCTGTTGCTAAAGAATGGGGAAGAGCTTCTAAATGGAGATAATCCATACCCAACCATACGGAGATAGAAAGGCTGATGAGTTTTGATAAGTCAGTGATGCAGATTTTTTTAAGGCCTAGAGGCCCAAAGATTTAAAAGCATGGGGGTTACATGTGAGAAGGATAGGCAGAGCATTGAATTTCATGGATAGAGTATGATTTTGTAGCAGACTGAAGTGGTTCTTCAGAAGAATCTGTGATAACTGAGCATTTGAAAATAATTCTTTGACTTACAGTTTCTATTCTACAAAGCTTTCTGGTATCACAACCCATTTATTTATCAGACCATCTATGTGAAGAGGGCAATAATAGATATTATTTTTCTCTTTTTTTTTCAGATGAGGAAACAAATATCATGGGTTTTATAATTAGTAAATGGCAGATTTGGGACTTAAACCATGCCATTTGACTGAATGTACAGTGCCCCTTTCACCACGCTGCTTGGCTAAGTGTTATGCAATGTCACAATGTCCCAGGTTCAAAGCAAAATGATATCGTTGTGACTGCACACTATTAAATGGTGAGAGATTCTCAGTTGCACCCATTAGAAACTGTATGATCTCGCTTATGGTACCATTTGAATACAGTATAACCAGATTTGCTAATGTGTGACAGGAAATATTTAATAAACATATATTATATGCCAGAGATTGTATTAGACATCAGAGACACAAAGATGCATGTGCCTTTATCTCTACTCTCAAGTAGCTCAGTGTTGTGGATACTGGAATCAGATAGAGGGAAGTGAGTGAAAAGTTGTGGAAGATTTTTTGCCAGTGGTATGACTCAAGGGTTATGGGATCATGTGAAAGCATTCCTCTTCTCACCTTAACTTAAAAATAAATTCTAATATAGATGGAGTGAATAACACTGTTGTTTCTCTTACGAGTATTATTATTACATAAATAATGTCTTTTACACCAAATATAGCATCTTGGATTATTTTACTAAAATTATGATAGTTGCTTCAATTGGAAATTTGTTATGCTAACCTCACAAGTAATTCAGCTACATTTGTATGAGGCTCTTGCGACTTGAGAGGTAGGAATAAAATTGGAGTAGAAAAAACATCTGGGAGAAGCTCTCTTTCTCGGATATGCACTTTCTAATTATTCCTGTTAGGATCTGAACACAGGACACCCCTTGAGTCATTAGTCACATACACCATATATGATTTGTGTCACAAACTATGCTGTAAAGTTTCAGAGTACAGGTATCAATAAATTTGTTTTGTTACCCTGGATGATCGAATATTGTGCATGTTAGTAGATGCTCAATGAATAACTGTAAGGTAAATGAATGAATTGATGAATAAATATGAATAGAGTAAAAGAAATGGACAAACTACTCCAGAAAGTGAAAGTACATTAAATGTTTACCACAGGTCCTTCAAGAGCCTACCTTCTTATATCTCTCCAGGATAGTCCAGGGGAGTAGGTTAGTTTTTGAGATTATTAAAGGGAGAAAAATATTTGGATGATTATCTATTGAGTAGAGAGAATTAATCATCACTCTTTTTTTCTGGTGATTTGTTAAGTTATTTATACAAGGCTGAATAACTTTTAGTTATTTTTGCAGACCATCACACATCTCAACATTCTTTTCAGGTTGCAAAGGTCTAGTGTGTGAGGCAACTGTTTAAAAGACTACTCATAATTAAGTGACGATCCATAAGTAAAGCACATGGAGTAGTAATATGGCATAGTGGCACTTCATATTGATACTGATGTAGTTTGGATGTGTGTCCCCGGCCAAATTTCATGTTGAAATGTAATCTCCAAAGTTAAAGGTGGGGCCTGGTAGGAAGTGATTGGATCATGGGGGTGGATGTCCCATGAATGGTTTAGCACCATTCCTTGGTGCTGTCCTTGTGATAGCAAGTGAGTTCTTGGGAGATCTGGTCATTTAAAAGTGTGTGGAACCTTCCCCTTCTCTCTCCTGCTCCTACATTCACCATGTGACATACCTGCTCCCCCTTTGCCATCCATCATGATTGAAAGCTTCCTGAGACCTCCCCAGAAGTAGATGCCACCACACTTTCTGTATACCCTATAGAACCGTGAACCAATCAAACCTTTTTCGTTTATAAATTACCCAGTCTCAGATATTTCTTTATAACAATGCAAGAATAGCCAATGCAGATATACAAAGGATCATATAGCAAATGTAGGAATGAAAGTAAAACTGATATTTCTCTCGTAGTTAATCTAAAGCCCATTTCAAATTGTTAAATGCCATCTGTCCAACTGAAGAACCTAAATAAAAGCAACTGAAAACTTGCTCTGAAGTAAACAGGTGAATAGTATGTAAGACAAAGCAGTTCCCCAAAGGCATTCTTAATACCTGCTCTTTATTTAACCCCTGTCTTAAAATAAACAATGCTGATGGGATGTGTTGGAGAGGTATGATATATGACTAGTGCCAATACTGTAGGCTGATAACCTATAGCATGACATCCTTATCTATAAACTTTGTCAGATGCATCACTTTGTTATTGTCACTTCATTAACTTGCACCGTTAATAGCAAAAGACAGTCTTTCCATTGTTTAAAACAGCAATACTTTACTAAGTGAAATATTTGAGAAACAATGAATGAAGTTCAGTTTTTACCAAGGAACAATCCTTTACACTTGGATTCATATTAAGTAGCTTTTTCTCAGTATGAGATAAAGTTGTTTGCACATCAACAGCAGACACTAAACTGTTTTGCCATGAATTATTTATGCTAAATAATCATGACAGCTTTCTTTAAAAAATAATGCTTTGCTAGAAAATGTTACTCTGGATGTCTAAATTAAACATTGTTGCCTAATATATTAATATTTTGGTCTTGTGAATTTTAATTGGAAACAAACAGCTGTTCCTAGTTGGAACTAACTACGTGATTTTCCAACAGTCATCTTTCCACTCTGGGGGTACAGGGGAATTTCACAAGCCTTCCCAAAAACATGGGAAAGTAAATCAGTCTCATCCTATTATGCATGGGAATTAAAAAACTAATGCTCTGGTGACATCTTTTCAGACAATTTAATATTTTTGCTTGCTGGATTTTCTGCCATTACCCTGATATCAGTCACCTGATATTAGATTAATTTCTTATGTCAACTTGAAATTTGTTGTCTCAAATCCCAACTAAAATGTGTTTGGAGCTAGGATGCAAATTACTTATTTCTTTGACCTTTTCCTTTCCCAAGAGATGTCCAAATATGCTCAATTTCATGTTCACTGTCCTGACCTCCATAGTGTCCTTGTGTTTTGTTTTTCCAAATCTTTAACAGTTCAGCCTATCTTTTTGCCACATTTGCTTTGTCTGTACATCTGTGCTAATCATATAGTATATTGTGAAAGTAGTGCTTAGTACATGTATTAGTCAGGGTTCTCTAGAGGGACAGAACTAATATGATTATATATATATATATATATGTATATATGTAAAGGGGAGTTTATTTAGTATTAACTTACACGATCACAGGGTCCCACAATAGGCTGTCTTCAAGCTGCTGAGCAAGGAGAGCCAGTCCAAGTCCCAAAACTGAAGGACTTGGAGTCCGATGTTCGAGGGCAGGAAGGATGCAGCACAGCATGGAAGAAAGATGTAGGCTGGGAGGCTAGGCCAATCTCTTGTTTTTACATTTTCTGTCTGCTTTATATTTGCTGGCAGCTGACTAGATTGTGCCCACCAGATTAAGGGTGGATCTGCCTTCCCCAGCCCACCGACTCAAATGTTAATCTTTTTAACATTTTAACAGACACACCCAGGGTCAATACTTTGTATCTTTCAATCCAATCATCTTGACACTCAGTATTAACCATCACAGGTCCACTCCTTGTCAACTTGAACCCATACACATCTTCTGAAATTATACATAATCTTCAAATGAAGACAATAATGAGGTCATAATTACACCTAACATCATATGACTATCTCTTGTACAACTGAAAACGCACTGGTCCCCAACCCTAATACTATTATATAAAGTTAACAATACTTAAATGCTGATATGAAGTCAATAAATCTTATGTCACATGATAAATGAAAATGAAATAAAATAAAGACATTTTCTTAGTACAAGCGTATACATGCACAAACATGTTTTTAGCAAAATAAGGAGGGAATACTCACGAAAATTACAGTCCCCGTTTCTGCAGCTGGTCACGTGGTCATAGGTGGTATTGATGACTACCTTCTTCTACTACCCATCCTATATTCCCTTAGCCTTCAGCAAGCACCTCAGCAGGTTGTGTTTTTTTTCCCTGGTAACATGACCCAAATCTTCATTCCTGAGGTATCTGGGCCATTTGTAATCCTGCCTGGATTGCACTGTTGTAGTTCTCATTGACCTTAATGACAGGGCATGGTAATACCAAGAGACACCTAATGGATCTCCTGAATTCCATGCATACTCTTCCTTACCTCCATTGTGGAGTAGTAGACTGATTTCATCCTGATAGTCTGGGTCAATCACCCTAGCCAACACTGTAACTGCCTTCTTAGCCTGTTGACTTAAAGGTAGGAGGAGCCCAAAGTGTCCAGGTGGCAATATTAACTTCCAGTTCAATGGGATTGTTGTGTCTCCTGGTGGCAGCATTCCTCCAGCTGGAACTAAGACCTCTAGGCCAGGAGAATGTAATGTTGTGGGAACGGAAAGCAAAAATTTTGCTAGTGGATCACTAGGGGTGATGGTGAGTGATGCCACTTCTACTTCCACCCCTTGATTCCAGGACTTATGAATCCTGGCAATGGGAAAAACAGTAACATATATTGGATGCTGATTCAGAGCATACATGGCCTTCTGGAGAACTTTGCCCCAGCCCTGCAAAGCATTGTCACCTAGTTGGTGTTGTAATTGTGACTTCAAAAGGTCATTCCGCCATTCTATCAATCCAGCTGCTTCAGGATGATGGGGAATATGGTAAGACCAGTGAATTCCATGAGCATGAGCCCACTCCCACAATTCTTTAGCCATAAAGTGAGGGCCTTGGTCAGAGGCAATGCTGTGTGGGATACCATGATGGTGGATAAGGCATTCCATGAGTCCACGTATACTAGTCTTGGTAGAAGATGGCAGGGCCTTACTTCAAAATCCTAGAGGCCTTTGCTGTGATTCATTTATGGGGGCCTGCCAAAGGCTCCAGACAGCATGCCTATCTGCCATTGACACCTCAAGCACCATTGGATCTGCTGGGTCATATGGCCCAAGTGGCAGAGTAGCTTCTACAGCAGCCTAGACCTGTTGCAGTGCCTTCTCCTGTTTTGGTCCCCACTCAAAACTGGCAGCCTTTCGGGTCACTCAATAAGTGGGCTCGAGTAATATACCCAAATGAGAAATGTGTTGTCTCCAAATTTTAAATAGGCCCACTAGGCATTGTGCCTTTTCTTGGTTGTAGGAGAGGCCAAATGCATCACTTACCCTTCACTTTAGAAGGAATATCTCGACAGGCCCCATACCCCAGTACCCCTAGAAATTTTACTGAGGTAGAAGTTCCCTAAATTTTAGTCAGATTTATTTCCCATCCTCTGGCATGCAAATGTCTCACCAATAAGTCCAGTGTGTCTGCTACTTCTTGCTCACTGGATTCAGTCAGCATAATGCCATCAATATAATGGACCAGTGTGATATTTTGCAGAAGGAAAAAGCAATAGAAGTCTTTTTGAAGAGTTGATATAACCCTGAGGTAGGACAGTAAAGGTATATTGCTGGTCTCGCCAGCTGAAGGCAAATTGCTTCTGGTGGGCCTTATGGACAGGAATGGAGAAAAAGAATTTGCCAAGTCAGTGACTGCAAACCAGGTGTCAGGAGATGTGTTAACTTACTCAAGCAATGAAACCACATCTGGTACAGCAGCTACAATTGGAGTCACATCTTGGTTAAGCTTATGATAATCCACTGTCATTCTCCAATATCCATTTGTCTTCTGCACAGGCCAAATGGGAAAGTTGAATAGGGATGTAGTGGGAATCACCACCCCTGTTTCTTTCAAGTCCTTGATGCTGGGTCTCTGCAGTCCCTCCTTGGATGCTATATTGTTTTTGATTTACTATTTTTCTAGGTAGAGCAGCTCTAATGGCTTCCATTGGGTATTTCCCACCATCATAGACCTCACCCTACCAGTCAGGGAGTCAATGTGGGGGGTTCCTTCAGCTGCGAAGTATGTCTATGCCAATTATGCATTCTGGCACTGGGGAAATGACCACAGGATGAGTCCAGGGACCTACTGGACCCACTGTAAGTTGGACCTGAGCTAAAACTTCATTAATTATCTGACCTCCATTAGCACCTACTTTAACTGGAGGATCACATTGATATTTTGGGTCCCCTGGAATCAATGTCAGCTCAAAGCCAGTGTCCAAAATGCCTGATCACTTCCCTTTTCCCAATGCACAGTTATCCTGGTAAAAGGTCGGAGGTCTCCTTAGAGAAGGATGTGAGAAAGGTTCACTGCAAAAATTGTCAGTAAGGTAGTGGGATTCTTCCTCAAGGGGACCCAGCCTCCCTTTCATTCAAGGGGTTTTGGGTCTGTAAACTGGCTAACTGGCTCAAGTCTGGAAATTGTTTGAGGGGCCGTGATTCTCTGTTTCTATAATTCAAACCAGTCTTTTGTCCATTCGACCTAGAAATTTTCTGTTTGTAAAAATTAAGTAGGAATGCAGTAGGCTTCCTATCGATTTCACTTCTAGGAACACGGTGATTAATTAGCCAGTGCCAGAGCTCTACACAAGTCACACTGTTCTGATTTCCACTTTGCCTCTGCTGTCCATTATGGTTACTATGCCTACCTTTACCTTGACATTTGAGTGTGGCCAGTTGGTCCCTGCTATCTTGGGATCCAATTATTCCCATTGTATTTAAATTTTGTATTTGAGTGACTGAGGTTCCTACTGTTAGATCTGACATACAGAGAAGAGCAATTATAGGGCTCTTCAAAGATTCAGCTGCTGCCCTCACAAATCTATTTCACAAGGCATTGGTCAAGGGTATATCTTTTTGACCCTCCCAGCTGGAATGAGTAGGTCTAAAGTGACTAATCTACTCCACCATCCCAATCAACCTAAGCCTTTGGATTCCTTCCTCTACATTAAACCAAGCGAGATCAGGCATTTCCAGCTCACTCACAGTGGGACATCTTTTAATCCATATTTCAGCTAACCAAGCAAATAAACTATTAGAACCTTTTTTTTAAACTCCCTCAACTGCAACATTAAAAGCAGAGTCCCTACTTAGTGGGCCCAAATTCATAAATTCTGCTCCTCTTGAACCACTCACGGTACCAAAATATTTATTAGTCAGGGTTCCCTAGAGGGACAGGACTTATAGGACTCAAATGTTAATCCTTCTTTGGCAGCAGCCTCATAGACTCATCCAGGATCAATACTTTGTATTCTTCAATCCAATCAAGTTGACACTCAGTATTAAGCGTCACAGTACATGTGAATGTTTTCATGCAGCTATATGGCTTTGACAACCATATCAAGTGTTAGACTGCAAGAAGATGATATACTTCTTCTTGTTTAGATTTATTACCAATATGTCCTGAGCACCTGTGTCTTAGTAAATAGACCAGAATTGATGAAAAAACTAAGACATAAAGCAATTTGGACTGACAGTCTAGTAGCTGGGATCTTTTCTTTCTTTCTTTTCAACGTAGGACTAATTTCTGTAGAAATTTTTAGAAGCACTTGGTCAAAGTTACGCAGTTCCTTCATTGTTTTTGTGGTGTGCATCAGTCACTGGAGAGTATAGCTCTATTGAAAGCAAGCCAGTTACATTTGTCTTCATTTTGCCTAATTCCAAATCATCTTTTACCTTGGTTTTTCATTTGATAAGAAAAAGAAAAGAATTGTGATTTCCTTCTACATCTCTATTCTATTCCTACATCTCAGTTTTCAACAACAGGCCATCACAATGAATTTTTTATTTTAATTCAGGAGATTATCTTGCCTTGGTGTAGCTTTTTCTTTAAGTCCTCCTTTATTCACTATCTTTCCTCCCCTTCATTCTTGGTACTGCAATTCAATTTGCTGAATGATATGGAAATACTTTAAAGAAGATTTTCCCCAAAATTATACAAAAAGTCATAAAAATGATTTGTACTCATCACGACATTTTATCTGGAGAAAATACATGGCTCTCACTGTACTTTAGCTGTAGTGCAGCATTTCCAGTAAGAGGGAAATTACAATATTTTCTTTGACCAGAAAATAATTGTTAGTTAGATGTCTGGGAGAGTCATGTTTTGAGAAATTAATAAAATGTTGTGTATATATAAGAAAATAGTACTGCCTCTATAATCCACTAGGTTTCTGAGAGGAAGGAAGAAAAGGTACTCATTGGTTTTATTATCTTTTTGTTCTCAAGACATCAAAGCTCCTTCTGATAAGATTTCTGGTTTGAAGTCAAGCAACATATTGCTAATTTATATTGAGAAAGAGGTAGGGGACCAAAATGAGAATTATAACTGGGAATTGGAGAAAAATCAAGAAAATGTGGAAAACTGAAAAATATATGTTTAGGGATTTTACACAATTGTATATGCAGAAAACTCTTCTTTTGTATCTGAAATTAAAGCCATAGAGTGATGAACAGAAATGTGACTGTGTATTTGTTTGAAGAAATGAGTGGTCAGTGTAAATTCCAGAGAGCTTGACTGGGTTGGGTGGGAAGAATACAACTTATACAATGGACTCTCACAGTGAATGGATTCAAGTCACTTATCCTCTAGTTCTACTATCTTAAGTGGGATTTATTGCATAGATGTCTATATTCTATGTGTTTCTCATTGCAGTTGATATACAGTATTTTAAAAAATATTCAAGGTGTATGTGTGTGTGGGCACACACATTTATTATAAATGATCTTGCTGTTACTTAACAGACACTTGAGTGCCTTTAAACTGCATTTCTGTTTATGAGAGTAGCAAAAGATGCAGAAATGTCTGTTCATCAGCAAGATGAGAGTGAAGAGTGTCTTAGTCCATTTTGCATTGCTAGAAAGGAATACTTGAGAAAAGGGATTTATTTGGCTCACAGTTCTGCAAGCTGTATAAGAAGTGTGGTGCCAGCATCGGCTTCTGTTGAGGGCTTCAGGAAGCTTTCATTCGTGGCAGAAGGCAAAGGGGAGCAGACATCACATGGCAAGAGAGGGAGCAAGAGAGAGAGGGGAGGGAATTGCCAGGGACGTTTTAACAGTCAATCAGGTCTTGGCCTGGTGTGGTGGCTCACGTCTGTAATCCCAGAACTTTGAAAGCCCAAGGTGGGTGGATCACCTGAGGTCAGGATTTCGAGCCTGGCCAATATGGCGAAACCCCGTCACTACTAAAAATGCAAAAATTAGCCAAGTGTGGTCGTGGACACCTGTAGTCCCAGCTACTCAGGAGTCTGAAGCAGGAGAATCCCTTGAACCTGGGAGGTGGAGGTTGCAGTGAGTCGAGATCATGCCACTGCACTCCAGCCTGTTCAACAGAGACTCCATCTCAAAAAAAAAAAAAAAAAAAAAAAAAAGAAACCACAGTCAGATCTCCCATACACTAATAGATCAAGAAGACACTCCATTACTGTGAGGAAAGTATCAAGCCTTTCATGAGGAATCTGACCCCATGACCCAAACATCTCCCATCTGGCTCAACTTCCAATATTGGGGATCAAATTTCAATGTGAGATTTGGAGAAGACAAATATCCAAACTATATTGAAGAGCTCTAGATTTACTAAATTGTTTTAAAGTATATTAGTCAATTTTCATGCTGCCAATAAAGACATACCTGAGATGGGTCAATTTACAAAAGAAAGAGATTTATTAGACTTACAGGGCCACAGGGCTGAGGAGACCTCACAATAATGGCAGAAGACAAGGAGGAGCAAGTCACATCCTACATGGATGGCAGCAGGCAAGAGAGAGAACTTGTGCCGGGAAACTCCTGTTTCTGTTTTTAAAACCATCAGATCTCATGAGACTCATTCACTATAATGAGAACAGTGCAGGAAAGACCCACCCCCATAATTCAGTCATGTCCCACCAGATTCCTCCCATATCATGTGGGAATGGTGGGAGTTACAATTCAAGGTGAGATTTGGGTGGGGACACATCCAAACCATATAATTCCACACCTGGTCCCTCCCAAATATCATGTCCTCACATTTCAATACCAATCATGTCTTCCCAACAGTCACCCAAAGTCTTAACTCATTTCAGAATTAAATGAGTTAATTCTCATTTAAATGTCCATAGTTCAATGTCTCATCTGAGACAAGGCAAGTACCTTCTGCTTATGAGCCCATAAAAATCAAAAGCAAGTTAGTTACTTCCTAGATACAATGGGGGTAAAGGCATGGGTAAATACAGCCATTCCAAATGGGAGAAATTGGCCAAAACAAAGGGACTCTAGGCTCCATGCAAGTCCAACATCTAGCAGGGCAGTCAAATCTTAAAACTCCAAAATTATCTCATTTGACTCCATGTCTCACATCCAGGTCACACTGATGCAAAAGGTGGGTGCCCATGGTCTTGGACAGCTCCACCCCTGTGGCTTTGCAGGGTACAGCCTTCTCCCAGCTGCTTTCACAGGCTAGCATTGAGTGTCTGGGGATTTTCCAGGCGCACAATGTAAGCTGTCAGTGGATCTACCATTCTGGGGTCTGGAGGAGAGTGGCCCTCTTCTCACAGCTCCACTAGGTGGTGCCCCAGCAGGGACTCTGTGTGAGGTCTCTGACCCCACAGTTCCCTTTTTCACTGCCCTAGCAGAAGTTCTCCATGAGAACCCTTTCCCTGCAGCAAACTTCTGCCTGGAAATCCAGGTGTTTCCATACATCCTCTGAAATCTAGGCGGAGGTTTTCAAACCTTAATTTTTGACTTCTGTGCACTTGCAGGCTCAACATGACATGGAAGCTGCCAAGGCTTGAGGCTTGCACCCTCTGAAGCCATGGTCCCAGCTCTATGTTGGCCCATTTCAGCCATACTCAGGGCAGCTGAGATGCAGGACACCAAGTCTGTAGGCTGCACACAGCACGTGGACCCTGGGCCTGGCCCACAAAACCACTTATTTTCCAAGGCCTCTTGGTCTGCGATGGGAGGTGCTGCTGTGAAAACCTCTGACATGCCCTGGAGACATTTTCCCCACTGTCTCGGGGATTAACATTTGGCTCCTCATTACTTGTGCTTGAATTTCTCCTTAAAAATTAGGGTTTTCTTTTCTATCACATTGACAGACTGCATGTTCTCCAAACTTCTGTGCTCTGCTTCCCTTATAAAACTGAATGTCATTAACAGCGCCCAAGTCACCCCTTGAATGCTTTGCTGCTTAGAGATTTCTTCTGCCAGATACCCTCAAGTTCAAAGTTCCACAAGTCTCTAGGGCAGGGCCCAAATGCCTCCAGTCTCTTTGCTAAAACATAACAAGGGTTGCCTTTGCTCCAGTTCCCAGCAATTTTTTTATCTTCATCTGAGTCCACCTCAGCCTGGATTTCCTTGTTCATATCATTATCAGCATTTTGGTCAAAGCCATTCAGGAAGTCTCTAGGAAGTTCCAAACTTTCCCACATTTTCTTGTCTTCTTCTGAGCCCTCCAAACTGTCCCCACCTCTGCCTATTACCCAGTTCCAAAGTCTTTTCCACATTTTTGGGCATTTTTTCAGCAACGCCCAACTCTACTGGTACGAATTTACTGTATTAGTCCATTTTCATGCTGCCGTTAAAGACATACCCGAGACTGGGATATTTGCAAAAGAAAGAGGTTTATTGGACTTACAGTTCCACATGCCTGGGAGACCTCACAATCATGGCAGAAGGCAAGGCACAACAAGTCACATCTTACATGTGTGGCCACAGGCAAAAAGCAAGAGAGCTTGCTCAGGGAAACTCTCCATTTTTAAAACCATCAGATCTCGTGAGACTCATTCACTATCATAAGAACAGTGCAGTAAAGACCCACCCTCATAATTCAGTCACCTCCCTCTGGATTCCTTCCATGACATGTGGGAATTGTGGGAGTTACAATTCAAGATGAGATTTGGGTGTGGACACAGCCAAACCATATCAAAAGGCTACTTTCTCATGGTTAGCTTTTGTGATGTAGAATGTGAATTTCATGAGAATGTTGCTGTTGTGAGGGGATTATCTCAGAAAATTATGTGGAATGATAACACCACAAAGTAGTCACTTTTGTAGGTAATGTCCTGATCCTTGAATTGAGGTGAGGATGCCATAAGACCATACAGATGATGCCTAGCTTCAGGAGGTAGCATGGTCCAATAGAAAGGGTGGAATTGTTGGCATCGGAGATATCTTGGTTCAAATTCATGCACTATTTCTTCTAGCTATTGTGACCTGGGGAAAGTTTCTCAAACTCTGTGAGCTCAGTATGCTCAGATAAAAAAATTAAACTAGTATGCACGTTGAAGCGTTATTGTGAAGATTAGATGAGAACTGACACAAACCACTACTTAATAAATAGCATTCTCACCTGCAGTGAACATCCCTACTCATACAGTTTTTCTGTTGGCTTCGGATCCTCATAGAGAACAAAAACAGTTAAGGAATAAAGCAAAGTGGCTAGTCAATCATATATACCTCAATTATGGGAAGGCATGCTGGTGAAGGTACAGTGCCAGTGCCATAATGCCAGATAAATAAGTAACTGCACTTTGTATGTTCTATATTTTATTATGCTCTAGGTTCCTGAAAAAGATATTTTTCTTTTGGCCAGAAATAATCACTGATGACTTTATTGTCTTGTGATGCATAAATGAGGAGGCAGACTGTTAATAAATTTTTGTGACAGACATGAACATGCACACTTTCTTTTCCTTACATAATTATGAATTTGCATCTTTAGAGAGGGCTTTGTTAAAATATTCCATGGAGTTTATGCCTTGTCTAATAATATCATAGGTACTGTGCATGTACTTGTGGCCAAACAGTTTTCTTTTTGTAACAGAACACATTTATATGAATAAAAAACCGAACCTGTCATATTTTCCCAGCGGCTTACTTTTACGGTATAATTACATTACAGAAAATTGACCCTCTGTGTAACCCTTAATTATATTCACATGCATCTAAAGTATATTGCTTAATGTCAGAAGTTAATAATAATAATATACTTCATTTACTTTTATGTAACATTTAAAGAACACAAGAAATTGTAAACGTTTAAAGTTATTTGCTTCACTGAGACATGAATTAATAAAGGTTTTGAGCCTATGAATTTTGTCTCTTAGATGTCAATGATTTTGGTCATTTTTTACTTTATCACTTTTAGAACATTTTGAACATTTTTAAAGAAGCTTGGTAGATTGTACCCTTAAATGGTTTTTAAATGACTTTCAACATAATAAATCAAGCCCAAAGAAAAATATAAATATATATTATGAAAGAGTTTTCAGGAACTGATGGTAGAAGGCTAATTTTCATCCACTTATTCAAGCAGAAAATATGTTTCTCTTCAAGACTTTTCTCCCCATTTGTCATGCACAAAAGCACACAATACTTTTAATATACACGTGTACACGGATTTTCAGAATAAGTAAATTATAAATTATAAATGTAAGCTTTATGGCACCTCTTTATAGAACTTGAAAATTAAGAAAATATTTCATGGCAGATGCTTTCATTTATGCATCCAGCAAGTATTTTTGAGTGCTCACATCAATAGTTAACAACCATATAGTGCTTCATAATTTAATGAGTGGTTTAACTCATGTTATCTCATTTGATTTTTAAAGCAGCCCTAGGAGTTTGGTGGTGTTAAGTAAAGAGGTAGGTCTTTTAAGAGTGACAGATCAGTGATGCCAGTATTATCAATGACTGGCAGAAGATTTAAGGCAACTCATTTGAGTGGTACCTTGAAGGGTGATTGATTTGACTAAGTGTAGAATGGGAATGGCAAAAACAAGAGCAAACACGGTTTTTGGAAGAGAACTTGGTAGAAAAATTTTCTTTGCCTTTTTCATCTCCTTAAAGATAAATCCAAATCCCCAACAAATGAAGTTATTATTTTAAAGTGAGGTTTAGCTAGTGGGAATTTTTCCATAGAATATTGATTTATATAACTAATTTCTACATTAATTTTAAAAACCTTTTGTAGTATGAATATATTGGTATTGGTTTCCTTTGTTAAATCTACTTCTATTATAAAAATGATTATATTGTTGGAATGCTACTTATCTGTTAGCTGGAGGGAGAAACTTCTTAGGTATATGGAAGAATTATGCATATTTTGTTTTTTCCAACCATTTGTATTGGCAACAAGACCTGCTTAGTCATACAGGATAACATTTATAATAGTTAAATTCTTACCATTGACCTTGCAGCTATGTAAATAGCTTCACAGTTTAATGTAATACACCAAGTGAGAGAAGCCATCTGAGGAGAGTTGAGGCAATGGGCCAGAATACAGCTGAAAAATTTAAACTTATGCCAATAACTTGTATGTAGGAACTACTCAGTGAAAATTGAGGGAAAAAAATCTCAATGTGTAAATATAGTTCATTGTTTCTTGGTATTTAAAGATGTGACATCCTTACAACTAAGAGCCATTTTTTTTAAGTTAGCGCAGAACAGAAGGGAGCTGACATATATAGTGTGCATGATGAAATGAGTTGAATAAATATTCTACAGGGAAAAAAAGGTGCAGATCCAAGTTTCTATTTGATCTTTTTTTTCTGAATCAACTGACAGGATAGTTTCAAAAGACTATTTTGTCCTTGGTTTGTTTTATATTCTAATTCCATTATTTACTTACTTTGTCTATAGTTTTCCTTCCTTTTCTAGAGGAAGTTGACAGTTGATAATAGCATTGCCAATTTTGGAACCTTTTGTGATACTTGTGAGGAAAGTTTACCCTATAATTGGCTGTCTCTCATACATGAAAATCACACTTTTGAGTCTTAGTATGAATGGTTTTTCAAGTGTTTTTAAAAAATTTTTTTGTGGGTTGATGATAGTAGGTGTATATATTTATTGGGAACATGGAATGTTTTGATACAGGCATGCGATGTGAAATAAGCACATCATGGATAATGGGTTATCTATTCTCTCAAGCATTTACCATTTGAGTTACAATCCAATTACACTCTTTGAGTTATTTTAAAATGTACAATAAGTTATGATTGACTCTAGTCTCCCTGTTGTGCTATCAAATACTAGGTCTTATTCATTTATTCTATTTTTTGCATCCATTAACCATCCCCACCTCCCCCAAAGTCCACCACTATCTTTTCCAGCCTCTGGTAATCATCCTTCTACTCTCCATCTCCATGAGTTCAATTGTTTTGATTTTAAGACCCTACAAATAAGTGAGAACAGGTGATGTTTGTCTTTCTGTGCCTGACTTATTTCATTTAGCATAATATTCTCCAGTTCCATCCATGTTGTTGCAAATGACTGGATCTCATTCTTTTTATGGCTGAAAAGTACTGCATTGTGCATATGTACCACATTTTCTATATCCATTCATCTATTTTTGGATGCTTAGATTGTATCCAAATCTTAGCTACTGTAAACAGTGCTGCAACAAACACAGGAGTGCAAATATCTCTTCAATATACTGATTTCATTTCTTTTGGGTATATAGCCAGCAGGGAGATTGCGGAATAATATGGTAGCTCAATCTGTAGTTTTGAGGAACCTCCAAACTGTTCTCCACAGTGGTTGTACTAATTTACACTCCCACTAATAGTCTAGGAGGCTTTCCTTTACTCCACATCCTGACCACCATTTTTTATTGCCTGTCTTTTGGATATAAGCCATTTTAACTGGGGTGAGACAATATCTCATTGTAGTTTTTGATTTGCATTTCTCTGATGATCAGTGATGTTTTTCACCTTTTCATATGCCTGTTTGCCCTTTTTATGTCTTCTTTTGAGAAGTGTCTTTTCGAACCTTTGGCCCTTTTTAAATCAGATAATTAGATTTTTTTTTTTCTATAGACTTGTTTGAGCTCCTTATATATTCTACCCTTTTCAGATGGGTAGTTTGCAGATATTTTCTCCCATTCTGTGAGTTGTGTCTTCATTGATTGTTTCCTTTACTATGCAGAAGCTTTTTAACTTGATGTGATTTCATGTGTCTATTTTTCCTCTGGTTGCTTGCACTTGTGAGGTTTTGCTCAAGAAAGTTTTGCCCAAACCAAAGTCCTGGAGACTTTTCCCAATGTTTTCTTGTAGTAGTTTCATAGCTTCAGGTCTTAGATTTAGGTCTTCAATCCATTTTGATTTGATTTTTGTATCAAATCAAAGATCAGAGATAGGGGTCAAATCAGAAATAGGGTCTAGGTTCATTCTTCTGCATATGAATGTCCAGTTTTCCTAGCACTATTTATTGAAGAAACCATCTTTACCCCAGTGTATACTGTTGGCATCTTTGTCAAAAATGAGTTCACTGTAGGTGTGTGGATTTGTTTCTGGGTTCTCAGTTCTGTTCCATTACTATATATGTCAGTTTTTATGCCAGTACCATCTTGTTTTGGTTCCTATAGCTCTGTAGTATAGTTTGCAGTCAGGTAATGTGATTCCTCCAGTTTTTTTTTCTTTTTGCTTAGGAAAACTTTGGCTATTCTGGATCTTTTGTCATTCTACATACGTTTTAGGATGTTTTTCTATTTCTGTGAAGAATGTCATTGGTATTTTGATAGGGATTTCAGTGAACCTGTAGATTGCTTTGTGTACTATGGACATTTTAACAATATTGATTCTTCCAATCCATGAAAATGAAATATTTTTTTCTATTTTTTGATGTCCTTCTCAATTTTTTTAATCAGTGTTTTGCAGTTTACATTATGGAGATCATTTACTTCTTCAGTTAATTTCTAGCTATTTAAATTTATGTGTGGGTATTGTAAATGAGATTACTTTTTTATTTTTTTCACATTGTTCACTGTTGGCATATAAAAATGCTACTGAGTTTTGAATGTTGAGGCTGTATCCTGCCAACTTACTGAATTTTTTAAATCAGTTCAAATAGTTTTCTTTTGTAGTCTTTAGGTTTTTCCAAATATAATATCACATCATTTGCAAACAAGAATACTTTAACTTCTTCCTTTTCAATTTTGATGCCCTTTATATCTTTCTCTTGTATGATTGCTCTAGCCAGGACTTCCAGTACTATGTTGAATAACAGTGATGACAGTGAACATCCTTGTTTTGTTCCAGAGCTTCGAGAAAAGGCTTTCGGTTTTTCCCCAGTTAGTATGACACTTGCTGTAGGTCTGCTTATATGGCTTTCATTACGAGGCATGTTACTTCTAAAACAAGTTTTTCAGGGTTTTTATCAGGAAAGAATGTCGAATTTTATTAAATGCTTTTTCAGGATCTGTGGAAATGATCATATGGTTTTATTTTTCATTCTGTTGATACCATGTATCACATTAATTGATTTGCATATGTTGAATTGTCCTTGTACCCCAGGGATAGAGCCCACTTGGTCATGATGAATAATCTTTCTAATGTATTGCTTAATTTGATTTGCTAGCATTTTGTTTAGGATTTTTGCATCACGATTCACCAGAGATGTTGGCCTATATTTCTCTTTTTTTGTGTGTGTGTCTTTATCTGGTTTTAGTATCAGGGTGATACTAGTCTCATAGAATGAGTTTGGAAGTATTCCTTCTTCTCCTGTTTTTTTGGAAAAGTTTGAATGGTATCGGTATTAGTTCTTCTATAAATGTTTGGTAGAATTCAGCAGTGAAGCCATCAGGTCCCTGCATTTTCTTTACTAGAAGACTTTTTATTATGACTTCAGTCTCATTACTTATTATTGGTCTGTTCAGGTTTTGGATTTCTTCCTGGCTCGATCTTGGTAGGTTGCATGTGTCTAGGGAATTTGTCTATTTCTTCTAGATTTTCTAATTTATTGACATATAATTGCTCATAACAGCCACTAATGATCCTTTGAGTTTCTGTGGTATCATTTGTTATGTCTCCTTTTTGATTTCTGATTTTATTTATTTGGATCTTCTCTCTTTTTTTAAATTAGTCTGGATAAAGCTTTGCCAATTTTGTTTAACTTCAAAAAACCAACTTTTTGTTTCATGGATTTTTTGTACTGTTTTCTTCATTTCAATTTCACTTATTTCTGCTCTAACCTTTATTATATTTAAGGGTGTAGGGCAAAAGGATCAGCTTTACTTACTCTGAGTTATAGTGAAGACCTATGAAGCACAGATTATTAAGTGAAATGATGAACTAGGGTTAGGTGAGATTTGAGGTACAGTATTACTCAGATGGGCTAGGAGGACAGCTCCCCGGGCAACATCAAATAACTATGTTTAGTAGTGATAAGTAGTAGAAGAACAAGTGTGCCTCGTAGTAGAAAAATAAGTTGGAAATTATGAGACCTGCAATGAGCAGGTAGTAGACTCCTTTAGGATGAAAAATTAACTTGAAAGAAGGAAATGTTTGCATTACTGAAACCGCATGCTTAGAAGACTCATATATTGGAACAATTATGTAAAGATTCTTCAGTTTTTAAATGATAAATATTGTAGCCACAAAATTGAATGGTGAGCATGGAGCTGCTCTTTCCTCTTCCCTATATGGACTTTGTGTACACATAAAGTTAGCTAGGCAAAAGAATGTTTATCATAGTATTAAAGTTGTCACTGCTGCAATTTCCTTCTGTTGATGGGGTAACATTATGTGTGTGTGCTACATACGTGCACACCTATCAAATCTTTTCCCCACTCCATGTGTGTCCTCTCTCTTCTTTGGTAGCTATAGCTGTTTCCTTCACCTCTGATTTGCTTCCTTTCTCTACTTAAGAACATACTATTTCTGAGACTTGATTTGGCTGTGTCATCTATGATGTTACTCTAAAAACATCTTTTTAATCATCAAAAAATTTCTTTAAAGCTACAATTACCAAAGAAAGTTATTGTAGAAGATTCATTAGGTAACTTTCTAATGTAATATATTCTTAACCCTAAACAATTTTGCTAAACTTATACAGCGATATACTTTTTCCCATTTCTAGGTGCTTATGTGCAGAGTAAAAATAAATTGTACCTTTATTTCCTGGTCTGCCTCCAGCTTTTCTTTGCAGAGAGAGGATAATTTCCCATCATCATAGTTTCAATATTTCAATTTATCATGCTTACTAGAATTGTACTCTAAGTCCTACACTCATTCCTCAGTCTAACCCCAAAGAGGCAAGTTATAGAATCTCCCAAGATAGTCTGCATTTTGAGTATTTCCATTTGCCTTTATTCACCAAGTGGAATTTAAAAATGAACAATAACCAGAAATATGTTAATAAGGAACTAGTAAAAACATTTCATAAGGACACATTAAATCCAATTAAAACCCTCTAGAAAAGCTGGTGTATTTGCTTTTTTAATATATTTCATTTAGAAAGTGCCTATCAGGCAAAATGCAGAAACACCATTAAAGTATTTAGAATACATCCTTTTTTGTCAGTTTTCTTTTTGTTATTTCTCTTGCCTAATGACTCCACTTATATCATTCAAAAGGAGTCAGTCCGGATGATAGGAGCTCTTTGTTACATGTAATAGCTTACAAGAGCAATTTACTCCTACCTGAGCCAGACTGCCCTTTATCTATAAAGACAGGCTGTGCTGTAGATTGAAGTCTAGGATTGGTGGTACGTTGGACATGGATCATACCTCTTAATTGGGTCACAAAGCATTGTTGTATGTTTGAGAGATGGGGTTTTTAGATTTTTTCCAGAAGTAATGCTGGAAATTGTGGAAAATTTTTTATAAATTAAGAATTTGAGGATCTGATGAATAGAAAATTGTTGAGGATTAGTTCCCCCACTCGAGGGAAAGATTTTTACCACTTTTTCTTATCAGTGATTTATTTCTATGAAATAAATTTGTTCTGAGCGTGTAGTGAATTGTCTGTGGAAAAAAGAAGTCCATTCTGGGACTATAAATGTTAGAAATGAAAGTTGTTCCGCAATCTCGGAAGTATTTCCGCTGGTTTAGAGACTATGGCTCCTTATTACTTGGAAATGCTCTAAACTTTAGGTATTCTTTGCTGAAACTAGAGCTGATTCTACATCCCTAAGAACAATTTGTTTAGAAAAAGAATTCTTTTAACCAAAGTTTTCATGAAATAATGGTAAATTAAATATAAATGAAAAGCCTTAAATATATAATCTGTAAAAAGCAGCTACCATTATTTGTCAACTTTGTTCAAAAAATGGAAATAAAACAACTAAAGTCAAAGAAATATGAATCAAATGACCTAGCTGACAGTAAAAGGAAATGTTTATGTTTACATTTTGACTTTAGTCTCTTAGCTCTACTCTCAGAAAGGTTGATGGCTGAAGGATTATTTTAGAAAGCAAAAGATTGAGGTAGTGTAAGTAGTTCTTTAATTTCAGAAATTGACCTTGAACACTTTTTTGGTTGAGTAATGAAAAAGCGTGGATTGTTATTCAAATTTCAGCTCACTTAAATGGAAGTGTGTGGAATACTTAAAAGTTAGACTACCTGTCCTATTTAAAAATTCTAATGGAATTTATACTAACTAAAGTAGATTGCTGAATTTAGAGGATGCACAAAATTAGGAAAATAGGTTAAATAGATCAGTTAAATCTTATATTACAAAATTTACAAATTAATAAGGTAGTAACTTAAATATAATGTGAACATGCTGTATGATATACCAAATAATGATAAAAAAGTTAAGATTAAATAGTAGCCTTTGAAATTAATATTGTACATATTCATTCAAAAATGTCAGTAAAAATTCAATTAAAGGGATGAGCATAAATACAGATTATTAAATTTATAATAATTTATACTGACATATATTCCCATAAGTTACTGAATACAGGTGTTAAAGTGCTGCTTTGGTTTTTATTTTTACAAAAGCCACCATGCTAATGCCTCTTTGATTGTCATCTGCTTCAGACGGATGACTAATTACTATTATGATGTTTTGGGTTTAAGGGCTGATCTAATTCTACAAATAGAATTCCTGCAGACAACTGAAAATGTCTATTATTAGAACTGAAAAACATTCAAATGAGTGGCCTTAGAGGTGAAAGGCTATCTTACCATTTTCCTCTTTAGTTACTTAGAAATTTTTTTAAATATCTTAGCATATTAGTTGATATGAAATTTTAACGCCAGACAAGACTATACCATATGTTATTTAAATTCCCATTCCTAAGTTTCGATTCACTAGGTTTTTTGAAAAAAAAAAAAATTTCAAACTCTTTAATGGCCTGGATTTGTCTGAAACTTTACTTAGTATTATGGGAGCTCATCCTTAAGCTTGTTATTTTTCATAGGGTATTTTATAATTTGAAGATAATACTAAGCAGTAAAGTTCAGTAACAAAGGACTTAACTGCAATAAAATTGTATATACACGATTTAATTCTCTCTTTTTAGGCAAATGAAGGGTAAATTGGAGACTTAAAAGCCCAGCATGTAGCTATAGGCTCCATTAATTCACGACCAGATCTACCCTGCTCTTCATTGTATCAGCATCTAAAATGGTGCATGGCCTGGCATATACTGTACAGGTTGTTGAGTGTATAAAGGGCAGCTTAGGTATTCTCTGAATTTGTCCTTTATAAAATTATAGAGCCTGTGGGCTTCGGAAAATGCAGAGGAGACATTTATATTCTTTTCTGAGAAAAAAAAAAATTGGAATCTTAACAAAGTTATATAGAGTGAAGAATCCCTTTCTGTGAATTCACTTTCACTGGGTCCTATTATTTTTTTCTTCTCCCAGTTGCATTTTACCCCATACTTTTTATAAATTGTGTTTATCAAGATTGAAATGAACATATCTGATTTTGATATGGGAAAAGAAAAGCACTTGGGGCATTGAAATAAACACTGATTCCAAATGTAACCCGCAGGTGTTTGGGAGGATGAAGAAGTTGTCACCGTTAATACTATAATTCAAATAAAACATATTGTTGTTAATAAAATGACTTTTCTAGAGTGCATTTCTTTTCTTTTCTTTTCTTTTCTTTTCTTTTCTTTTTTTTCTTGAGACCGTCTGGGTCTGTCACCCAGGCTGGAGTGCAGTGGTGCGATCTCGGCTCACTGCAACCTCCGCCTCCCAGGTTCAAGTCATTCTGTTGCCTTAGCCTCCCGAGTAGCTGGGATTACGGGTGTGTGCACCAGGACACCCAGCTAGTTTTTGTATTTTTAGTAGAGATGAGGTTTTGCCATGTTGGCCAGGCTGTTCTTGAAGTCCTGGCCTCAAGCAATCTGCCTGCCTCAGCCTCCCAAAGTGCCAGGAGTACAGGCATGAGCCACCGCGCCTGGCCTAAAGTGCATTAAATGATTCCATTTCTTTTCTGAAACATAGAACTTTTAGAATTTTATAGAGATAAATCATACAAAGTGAAATAACTTCTGGAGTGGAAAATGTGAATTTTCTGTTTCAGCACTGGAACAAAATGTGGAATATTTTCACACAGACTTTTATGGAATCCATCTGATTTCAGTGAAGTCCAGTGACAAATTCTGTGCAATTGATATAATATTGTGGCATGGTTTGAACAAGTTTAGGCAAACTTATCTGGCATTCTTAAACTTCTTTTTATAGTTTCTATTATTTTGTACTTTGTAATATACTTTATAGCTTGTATTACAGTCTTGTATTGTGAAGCTTTAAACCTGAGGTATTTAACATGATAGGCACTAGGTGCATGTAGCTATTGAGATTTTGAAATATGGCTAGACAAAATTGAGATGTGCTGTGAGTGTAAAATACACACTAAGTTTCAAAGATAGTATGGAAAATGTTAAATAACTCATTAATAATTTTTAATGTTGATTATATGTTGAAATTATAATATTTTGGATGTATGGGGTTAAACTATTAAAATTAACTTAGCTGATTAATTATACTTTTAAGAATGTTAGCTACTAGAAAATTTAAAATTAGATGTGTTACCGACATGGTATGTCTTTCTACGTGACAATGCGTTTCCAAATTGTTTTAACTGAATTATATCTAAATCTGGCAATTCTCCTGTGGGTACAACGTAGGCACTGGCTTTATAGAAGAAACTGACCATGAAGGTCTTAGCCATAAGGCCATTTCCTACAGCCAGTTGAAAATGCCTATTATCGTACTGGTCATTTTTGGTTGAGTGATTATCTTTTCTTAATTCACCTTCTCTAACAATGAAGCATGGAAGGATAATTAAGGATCCCAAAAAGCATTCTTCTCTCCTTGCTACACAAAAGATGCAGTGTGCTCACGTAACTCAAACCTATCCCCCTGTTTTAAACAATAGTAATAAGAGGCATGCAGAGTCATTTTGTAAGATGCTGAAGTATTATAAAATTGGTGAGACGATGACATGTTTTTTGTTACCTAAAAACCTTAGCTTGTAGTCCTATTCAAAGTTGTAACCACTGTGCATGTCCCCTTCTAAGCATTAATTCTGTTGTGAGTGACTAAATGCTATAGTTTGCTGACTTGAAGTTTTGTATTTTATTTATTGATTTTATTAAGTAAATTTCATCTCTTTAGGCTTGAGAGTGAATAATCTAGGCATGGTAATCATGTGTAGTGATTTTTTTATGGGTTTATAGTTTCTCCAAAGAGAGACCAGGAGCTGCAAAAAGCAAATTTGCATCTCTCTCTTGATGGTTTATATGACTTAAAAGTGCATAGCCAGCCTTACATAAATTTTGTGAGCCTGGGAAAATTGGGATTATTATTATTTAGTCGAATTGGTTTTATTGAATTATTTAAGGTTGAAGTAATAGGTGGTGTAATGCTTGAGATAATTTTTTAAAGAGGGAAAAAAGCAAAATGAAACAAATGGTATCTTACTTAGAAGGCTGTGTCCAAATGGACTTAATTACCACAAAATTTGTCATAATATGTAGTCAGCAGTTATAGAGAAGAATAATGTGAGCTTTTGAGGACTTATATCTGATGGAGAGCATGAAAGATCAGACATAGGATGTGAATGTGTTGATTGGCATAAGAAGTGTAGTGCTAGAAATAGAATTCTTTAAATGCATGTGTCCGAATGGCATACATAGAATGACTCAGCTCTTCCATATCATATGTTACATCACCACAGCATTGTAACAATAATAATAAAGCAATATAATAACAGTGTAATTAGAATAATAACAGTGGCCATTTGTACAGTCTCTTAAAATTTAAGGTTCTGAATAATTAGATTACTTGCTTAATACTAGTTGTCTAATTTGTACCACAAGTAGACAGTGGCTATTTTGAATTTTTACTAGTCATCCATTTGATGTTATATTCTTCTTTAAACAAATCATAAGGTTGAATTTGTAAAGGTAGCACTAATTATTATATTTATGGTATATATTCTAGGATAATATTGGGGCAAGATAATTAGAATTAATGAAGAGCTTTCCATATTGTTAGAGTTTTTACAGTCTCAGTAAAAAAATGTATTTGTTGTTTCTGGATTGACAACTTTATAATAAAGAGGAAGTTTAAGGTCCAGAGAAAACTCATTTTAATAAAAAAGAAATCTATTTGCTGGTTTTATTTGGATTGACAAGCATGCTCAGCATGCTGGCTGCCACTGAAACACGCTTCAACAGATAAATCTACAAAGTCCCCAAAGTCAGCTTAAATGTTGAATAACTTAGAATATCAGAATCTTGGAATGGTTTGAGCAACAGAAAAGAAGCTGATTTTTGTTTGTTTTCTCTTTGATTTGTTTGTAGGTACAAAACAGAATCCAGTGATTATTTGCATTTTCCCATGATATTGTTAATTGCTACTGTTTTAAACAAATTGTAGAGTAGAATTTCAAACAAATATCACCAAATGAGCTCAGGGTTCTGTTTTCCCTGGTACTGAGTGACAGTAATCCTGACAAAAGAGAGTTACTGCCATTAGTAAATGCTGTTATGTAGTTCCCTCCATAGTCTGTAATGCACGTTGATAACAATAGGAAGGACCAGAAATGCGAAGAAATATCTTGAAGGTTGGAAGAACACTGAGGTGTTTCAAATGTCCTAGGCAGATATATTGATTAACAGAAATTTTGGTTGTTGGGCCAGACTTACATGTGACACTATGCATTGGAGACTCAAATGATGCATCTCCTTTATAGACAGGAATTTGGTATAAGGCAGGTTTGGCTTGACTCCAGCCTGTGGATTTATTACTGTATCTATCTAAAGAACTTCATCTATGAAATTCCATGTTTGTGGAGTTTTAGGTTTAGATTTACAGAATTTTACACTTGCATAGGCAGATGAGTTGTATATTAGTTAAAAGCTGTGCTTGTGGATGTGAATCACATTGTGAAAATGAATCTATTAAGACTACAGGACACAATTCGGCCACTGGAGAATTGGAGACAATCAGTAAAATCATATGTAGAAGAAGCATTGCGTGGTCGTTAAATACATGGACTATGGACCCAGACTCTTCAGTTTATAACCCTAGATTCATCACTTGCTAGCTATGTGGTCTTGGACAATTTGATTAAACTGTGTTTCAGTTTCCTAATCTGTAAAATGGGGATGGTGATAACAATAGTATCTACCTCTAGTGTTATTTTAATAATTAAAGAGTTTAGTTTTTAAAAGTTTTTGGAACAATCTCTGACATGTAGAATGAGCATGTGTAAAATGCTACAAAGATGATACAAAAAGTGTCTGTTAAGTATAAAAATAAAATTGGGAGAAGAAATAACGTCAACCCTCATCAATGAAATTATAGGCTATTATTTCCTGTAGTAAGATCTAGACAAATCTTGCCTGATTAGTTCCACATGGTTAAATATGTAAAGCTAACACATATTATTGTGGTTTCTTTGATAAATTTAATGGGTGCTTCAGATTTATCCAGGGTAAGTCTTAGGATATGTCCAAACAAAATAATGTCCAGTTGTAAAAAAAAGAAAGGTAATCCTCAATAATTTAGGGGATGTTTGTAACATTTCTTTTCTTCCTTCTTTTTTTCATTCTTCTGTATACAAGGCAGTATGCTAGGTAGCTAGAACTTTAATTAGAGCATAGTTAGGAAAAGAAAAGGAAATGGAGCTTTGTTTTTTAAATTATTGGTGGCTTTTACAGATAGTTTGACAGGAGGAACCATCCAGGCTGTAATTGTGGTAAGGAATACCTGGTTGAATTTCACTTTTTATGTCTTTATTTTGGAATTCTGTAGCTAGGTAGTTACACTGTTATGTAAAATTAGGCTAGGAAATTAAGCTTCTACTTAATTTCTTCATGTTGGCAGATTATCAGGTGTGTATTGTAGTAAGAAAGAAGGCCCAAGCATTGAAGAAAAATTAGCAGGAGTTTATTATATTTAACAGAGAAGGCCCAAGCAATGCCAAACATTATCATGCATGTCCCTGGGCCAAATCTTTGTGAGAACTGTTGTGTGAATGGTATGCAGTGTTCACAGAAGGTAATCTACAGCATCAAGTAATATGACAGACATGAAGGCATTAATTATTTGTGACTGTACTAGGCAGTTTGCTATTCCTTAATGTCTTTGATGTTTTGATCAATAACTGTATGAGAGAAAAAAACATACTTTTTAACAAGGAGGATTTCATTCATTAGATGTTAACGCTTTAAAAAATATATGAAAGACACAGCGATTTTTATTTTATGCCGACTTTTATTTTTTTATTTTTATTTTTTGTTGGTACATAATTATATCTGTTTATGGAGTACATGAGATATTTTGATATGGGCATGTAGTGCATAATAATCACATAATGGAGAATGGGATATCCATCCCCTCAATCCTTTGTGTTGCAAACAATCTAATTATACTTATCGCTACATTTTAAAGTGTACCTTTTTAAAATGTAAGCTAATTTCTTCACTTATGACATGTTGATTGATTGCTATATATTTTCTCAATCTATCTCAGAATAAAATATTTCACTTCTCTTGATGGCTCATTTCTCTTATCATGGTATATTCACTTATTTTTTAATACAAGTAAAAGTATAGAAACATTTCATTATTTAAACTCATTTTGCAATTTGACAAGATTAAGGTACAGTTGTAAAACTCCTCAACTACCTTCATTATGTATTACCAGGTCCCATTTTGTCCCTTTTTGTGTACATCCATAGAAGATTCTTTTTTCCACCACTGTTTTTGTTTTTCTTGAATTCTCTTCAAACAGACTGTATTAGTCCATTCTTGCATTGCTATAAAGAAATACCAGAGACTGGGTAATTTTTAGAGAAAATAAGTTTCATTGGCTCACGGTTGTGCAGGCTGTACAGGAATCATGGTGCTGACATCTGCTCAGCTTTTGGGAAGGCCTCAGGAAGCTTATAATCATGGCGGAAGGTAAAGAGAGAGCAGGCACATCGCATAGCAAAAGCAGGAGAACGTGAGAGAGATTGGGGTTGGGAGGGGGAAGTGCCACATGCTTTTAGATGACCTGATCTTGTAAGAACTCACTCATCATGAGGGATGTTCTTACAAGCCATGAGGGATCTCACCAAGCCATGAGGGATCTACTCCCATGACCCTAACACTGCCCACTAGGCCCCATCTCCAGCATTGGGGATTACAATTCAACATGAGATTTGGGCAGATATTCAAACAACGTCACAGAATTCGGTAAGAAAATTTGATTTTTCAGTGAGGGCTAGACAAAAGGAGTGCCAAGTGGGTAAATGAGTTGTGACTCATCTGATGATTTTTATTTATCTTGGAAAAACACCTAACTTCTTGATTCTAGCTTCTGTTGTGGCAATTACTTTCCGTATTTGTCAAGAACTTTTAACATCAAGGTTTTCAAGTTTGGTTAAATATAAAATTCTTTCAGTAATGATCAGCCGCTTATATTGAAAACCTGTGCATTTCCAAATTTATATACATTTGAATTTAATAGTTCTGTTTGTTCATTAGCAGAAACTTAAATCACATAATAAAATATTAAAACAAAATTGAATCAAAGCAAATGTGACTTAAAAATATTATGATCCATTCAGTATTATTGGGTTTTCAAAATCATACAAAGTTTGATTTCAAAAAAATTTCCCAACTGCCTGTTTTTGCTTTGGAATGTCCACATCGATACAATTTTGGAAAAATTTTTGAGTGAAGATACAGTTGCAAATTTAGGTAAAGGTTGAATTTCTATTCTTTCCAAAGCCTACCATCTTGTAGCATTGTACGTAAATGACCCTGCATTTAGTAGAGTATTAATTTGTATATTTTACTCATAGAAAGCTGGATACAAATGTCAGGGTGAGAATGTGCATTCATTTGTAAGGCAATCCGTCTCCCCTTTTTACAAATAAATGGCAGTTAGCATGTACAAAATAGCATTAAGTAGCTAATGCCTATGATTTAACAAGGGATTAGTGATCCAAATAAGTGAAATCTGTTTCTCCTAAACTTGTGGCATTTGTGAATATCTTTATTTCATAATAATTTGTAGAAGAACTGACTGATTTCTAACTGAATTTGATGGACTAGTAAATATATCCCACAATATTTTAGTACAAATATCTTCTGTAATTTCTGAGGGAGATCTATAATTCATTAATTAACACGTTATTAGTTTATAATGTATTATGAAATATGAGCAGTTCCTTTAATTATAGACCTCCCCAGGACTATACCATAAATCCTGAAATCTCTATTAAAAAATTTGAAGTTATGCTTATAAGGAAACCTTGATCAACTGCCATATTAATTCAAGGGCATAACTGAAACTCTTCAGTAGTGTTCCACATTTGTTTTCATCTTGTTCAAGATTAAACTCCTGTGGCAAAAGTGGAACTGAAACCAGGCACATTTTTTTCTACCTAAGGTGGTGATATATGTATATATATATATATATAGAGAGAGAGAGAGTAATACATCAAACACAGATATGAATAGAACAAACATAGTTTTGTTCTTTAGCCTGTTGAGGTGATGGACTGTGTTAACTGGTTTTCACAAGTTGAATGAGATTTGAATAAATGGAATAAATTCCACTTGGTTATGTTGTGTGATTATTTTATACATTGTTTCATTTACTTTGATGATATTTTATTGACAGATTTGGACTGTGGTTTTTTTCTTGCAATGTCTTTAGTTTTGGTATCAGGTTAATGCTAATCTCATGGTTTGACTTAGGAAATATTTTCTTTGATTCTACCTTTAAGAAAAGATTATAGAGAATTGGAACAATTTCTTTCTTAAATTCTTGGTAGAATTAATCAGTGTACAAGTCTGGGCCTCATGCTTTTTATTTTGGAAGGTTATTGTTTATTGATTCAACTTTAAAAATAGATATAGGCCTTTTCAAAGTGTCTACTTCTTCTATGAAATTTGGTAGATGTGTCTTTCAAGGAGCTGGTCCATTTCATGTAAGTTATCAAATTGTGAGCATAGAGTTGTTAATAATATTCATATATATTCATATACTATCCTTATATTGTCCATGAGATCTGTAATGCTGTCCCCTCTTTTATTTCTGACATTAGTGATTGGAGTCTTCTCTCTTTTATTCTTAGGTATCCTGGCTAGAGGCTTATTGATTGTATTACTCTATTCCAGAAACAGCTTTTCTATTCCTTGTTTTTCTCTTTTGACTTGTTTTTAACTTTGTTGATTTCCACACTGATTTTTTTATTGATACAACATATTTTACATATTTATGGGGTACATATTATATTTTGTTACATGCATAGAAGGTGTAATGATCAAGTTGGGATATTTAGGGTATCCCCACATCGGTATTTATTATTTCTATGTGTTGGGGACATTTCAAGATCTCTCTTTCAGCTACTTAGAAATATACAATACATTGTTGCTAACTATGGTCATCCTACTTTTTATTAAAATGTATACATTCTATCTAACTGTGTGTTTGTTCCCATTGACCAACTTCTATCCATTCCTCCTACCCACCCACTGAACCTTCCTAGCCTCTGGTATTTACCATTCTATTCTCTACTTTCATAAGATCTACTTTTTAAATTCCCACACTATGAGGAAAAATATGAGATTTTTTTGTGTGTGTCTGGCTTATTTTACTTAACATAATGACCTCCAGTTCTTTCTCTGTTGCTACTAATGGCATGATTTCATTTTTAATGCTGATAATATTCCATTGTGTATATATACCATACTTTCTTTATCCATGCATTCATTGATAGACAGGTCAATTCCATATCTTTATTATTTTGAATAGTGCTGCAATTAACCTGTGAGTGCAGATATTGCTTTGCTACACCGGTTTCTTTTCTTTTGGATAAATAACCAGTTGTGGGATTACTGGTAGTTTTTTTAGTTTTTTTTTTTCTTGAAGATTTGATATATTCAATTTTATTTTTATTTTATTTGTGTTTTTTAAACTTTTATTTTAGATTCAAGGGTAAATGTGGAGATTTATTATATATGTAAACTCATGTCCTGGGGGTTTGTTGTACGGATTATTTTGTCACCCAGGTACTAAGCCTAGTACCCAATAGTTTTTTTCTGAGTATCTCCTCCTCCTCCTACCCTGTACCCTCCAACAGGCTCCAGGGTGTGTTGTTCCCCTCTTTGTGTCCATATGTTCTTATCATTTAGCTCCCACTTACAAGTGAGAACATCTGGTATTTGGTTTTCTGTTCCTTCATTAGTTTGCTTAGGATAATGGCCTCCAGCTCCATCCATGTTTCTGCAAAGGACATGATCTCGTAGGTTTTTTTTTTTTTTTTTTTTTGAGACAGAGTTTCACTCTTGTTGCCTGGGCTGGAGTGCAATGGCGTGATCTTGGCTCACTTCAACCTCCGCCTCCAGGGTTCAAGTGATTCTGTTGCCTCTGCCTCCCAAGGAGCTGGGATTACAGGCCCCTGCCATCACGCCCGGCTAATTTTTTTGTATTTTTAGTAGAGACGGGGTTTTGCCATGTTGGCCAGGCTGGTCTTGAACTCCTGCCCTCAGGTGATCCACCTGCCTCGACCTCCCAAAGTTCTGGAATTACAGGCATGAGACACGGCACTTGGCCCGAACTCATTCTTTTTATGGGTGCATAGTATTCTATGGTGTATGGGTGCCACATTTTCTTTAACCAGTCTATCAGTGATGGGCATTTAGGTTGATTCCATGTATTTGCTATTGTGAATAGTGTTGCAATGAACATAGACATGCATGTGTCTTTATGATACAACTATTTATATTCCTTTGGGTATATACCCAGTAATGGGATTGCTGGATCAAATTGTATTTCTGTGTCTAGGTTTTTGAGGAATTGCCACACTGTCTTCCACAATGGTTGAACCAATTTACAACTCCCACCAATAGTGTATAAGCATTCTCTTTTCTCTGCAACCTTGCAAGCACCAGTTATTTTTTGACTTTTTAGTAATAGCCAGTCTGACTGTGTGAGATGGTGTCTCATTGTGGTTTTGATTTGCATCTTTTATTTTTAGTTTGTTTTAGAAGTCTCCATAATGTTTTCCATAGTGGCTGTACAAATTTACATTCCTACCAACGGTGAATAAGAATATAGTTCTCTTCACATCCTTGCCAGCACCTGTTATTTTTTGACTTTTTAATAATGGCTATTCTAACCAGGGTAGGATGATATCTCATTGTGGTTTTGAATTACATTTTCCTGATGATTAATGATGTTGGACATTTTTTCATATAACTGTTAGCCATTTGTATGTCTTCTTTTGGGAAATGTCTATTCATGTTCTTTGCCCACTTTTTAATGAAATCATTATTATTACTTTTTTACTATCGAGTTGTTTGAGTTCCTTGTGTATTCTGGATTTCAGTCCCTTGTTGGATGAATAGTTTGCAAATATTTTCTCCCATTCAAGAGGGTATTTCTCCATTGTGTTGGTTATTTCCTTTGCTGTGAATAAGTTTTTTAGTTTAAGATAGTCCCATTTGTCTATTTTTGTTTTTATTGTCTGTGCTTTTGATGTTTTAGCCATAAAATATTTGCCTACATCAGAATTCTGAAGTGTTTTCTCCATGTTTTCTAGTAACTTTATAGCTTTTGGTCTCACGTTTGAATCTTTAATCTATCTTGAGTTGATTTTTGTATACCATGTGAGATAAGGGCTCAGTTTCGTTCTTCTGCATATAGATATCCAATATTCCACTCTAATTTTTCTTCTTTCTTCTGCTCAGTTTGGATTTAATTTGCTTTTTTCTTTTTTTAGTTTCTTAAGGTAGAAGATTAGATTATTAATTTTATATTTTTCTTCATTTCTAATTTGTGCCTTCAATGCTGTAAATTTCCTTCTAAGCAGTTTTTTCTGCATCCCATAAATTTTGAATAGTTGTATTTTTATTTTTATTTAGTACAAAATATTTTTAAATTTCCATGGAAACTTCTTCTTTGACCCTTGTGTTATTTAGAAGTGTGTTTAATCTCCAAGTATTCTGGGGGTTTCTAGCTATCTTTATGTTACCGATTTCTGTTTAATTCCATTGTGGTCTGAGAACAGACCTTGTATAATTTCCTTTCATTTAAAATTGTTCAGGGTTTTTTCTATGGCCCAAAATGTGATCTATCTTAGTGAATGTTCCAAGTGAACTTGAGAAGAATGTGTAATTTGCTGTTGCTGGATGAAGTAATCTACAGAGGTAGATTATATCCAGTTGATTGATGGTTTCACTGAATTCAACTATGTCCTTACTGACTTCCTGCCTGCTAGATCTGTCCATATCTGATAGACGGGTGTTAGAGTCTCCTGCTCTAATAGTTGATTCGCCTATGTATTCTTGAACTTCTATCAGTTTTGCCTCACATTTTGATGCTCTGTGGCATATACTTTAAGGTTGTCTGTGTCTTTTTGGAAAAATTGACTCCTCTCTCATTTTGTAATGGCCCCCTTTATTTCTGATAAATTTCCTTACACTGAAGTCTCCCTGGAATAAAATTAATATGGCAACTCAAGCTTTCTTTTGATTTGTGTTAGCATGGTACAACTTATCCATCCCTTTACTTTTTTAATTTGCATACATATTTATATTTAAAATGGAATTTTTTGGCAAGGTATAGTTGGACCTTGTATTTTGATCCACTCTGACAATTTCTCTTCTTTAATTGATGTATCTAGACCATTGAAGTTGGATACACATCTAACATATTTGTTACTATTTTTAATTCATTGTCCTTGTTCTTTGTTCTTATTTTTGCCTTCCATCCTTTTTCTGCTTTGTGTGTGTTTGTATGTGTTTCTTTTATTTTGGTGCAGACATTCTTTTTTAAAGTTTTGTGTAAAAATCAATGCAGGATATTTAGCATATATATTGCCTCATGTATTTATCATTTCTTTGTTGTGAGAACATTAAAAATCTTGTCTTCCAGCTATTTTGAAATTTATAATACAATATTGTTAATTGTAGTCTCCTTATGTAGTTACTCTACTGTGCAATGGAACAGCAGAGATTATCCCTCTTATGTAACTGTAATGTTGTACCTGTTGACCAACCTCTCCCTCTCTCCTCCCTCGCACCATTTCCTAGATGATGGAAACCACTATTCTACTCTCTTCTTCTATAAAACCAACCTCTTTAATTTTTAATGTTTATGAGTAAATGGTAGGTGTATATATTTATAGGGTGCATGAGATATTTTGATACAGGCATATAGTGTATAGTAATCACATCAGGGTAAAATGGGGAAGCCTTCACCTCAATAATTTAATAATTTATCAATATTAGATCTTATTCATTCTATCTAACTATATTGTTATGTTCATTAAACATCTCCACTTTTCTCCCTCCTCCCCAGTGCCCTTCCCAGCTTCTGGTAACCATCATTCTCCTCTCTGTCTCCATTAGTTCGACGTTTTGATTTTTAGGTGCCACAAATGAGTGAGAACATGTGAAGATTGTCTTTCTATGTCTGGTTTAACTTAACATAATGAGCGCCAGGTTCATCCATGTTGTTGCGAATGATGGGATTTTATTCTTTTTTATGACTGAAAAGTATTCCACTGTGTGTGTGTGTGTGTGTGTGTGTGTGTGTGTGTGTATACACCACATTTTCTTTATCCATTAATCTGTTCATGAACACAAGTTGATTCCATGTCTTGACTATTGTGAATTTTGCTGTAATAAACATGGGAATGCAGATACCTCTTTGATATACTGATTTTATTTCCTTTGGGTATACACCTAGTAGTGAGATTGCTGGATCATATAGTAATTTTATTTTTAATTATTTGAGGAAACTCCATATTATTTTCCATAATGACTACGTTAATTTTCATTTCCACAAAAAGTGTATGAGTTCCTCTTTTTTCACATCTACAGCAGCATTTGCTACTCCTTGTTTAAAAATTACATATTATTATATATATTATACTATATATGTGTGTGTGTGTGTATATATATATATATATATGTATATATATTAGTGACAGGGTCTTGCTCTGTTGTGCAGTCTAGAGTTCAGTGGTATGATCAAACTCCTGGGCTCAAGTGATTATCCTGCCTCAGCCTCTTGAGTAATTGGTATTATAGGCATATGCCACCATGCCCAGTTATCCTTTTAACATTTTTTTGTGGAGATGGGAATTTGCTATGTTGCACAGGCTGGTCTCAAACTTTTGGCCTTAAGGGATCCTTCTGCTTCAGCTTCCCAAAGTCCTGGGATTACAGGCATGGGTCACTGCACCCAGCCTTATTTTTTGTCTTTTTGATAATGGCCACTCTAATTTGGGTGAAGTGATCGCTCATTGTGGCTTTGATTTCCATTTACATTGTGGTGAATGATGCAGAACATTTTTTTTTACCTGCCTGTTGGCCATTCTTGTGTCTTCTTTTGAGAAATGTCTATTCAGGTCTTTTGCTCATTTTTAAGTAGTATTTTGTGTGTGTGTGTGTGTGTGTGTGTGTGTGTGTATGTTTTTTTTTTTTTTTGCTATTGTCTTTTTTGAGTTTCTTACGCAATCTGGATATTAACCCCTTGTCAGATGTGTAGTTGTAAATATTTTTTCTCTCATTTTGTAGGTTGTCTTTTCATTGTGGTGATTGTTTCTTTTGCTGTGCAGAAACTTTTAAGTTTGTTGAAATCCCATTTGTTTCTTTTTGCTTTTGTAGCTTATTCTTTTGGGGTCTTATCCAAAAATTTTTTGCCTAGATCAGTGTCATGAAGCATCTCCCCAAGTTTTCTTCTGGGAGTTTTTTTCATTTCAGGTTTTGCATTTATGTCTTTCATCCATTTCCAGTTGATTTTTGTATATGCCAAGAGATAAGGGACTTCTAGCTTCATTCCTCTGCAAGTGGATATCCAGCTTTCTCAGCACTATTTGTGGAAGAGACGGTCATTTCTCCATCGTGTGTCCTTGCCACCTTTGTGAAGAATCAGTAGGTTGTAAACACATGGATTTATGTCTGGGCATGCATGGATTTATTTTTGGGCTATCTTTTCTGTCCCATGGGTCTATGTGTCTGTTTTCATGCCAGTACCATGCTGTTTTGGTTACTATAACTTTGTAATATATTTGGAAGTCAGGTAGTGTGATGCCTCCAGCTTTTCTTTTTTTGCTCAAGCTTGCTTTGGCTATTTGGGGTCTTTTGTAGTTCCATATAATTTTTAGAATTTTTATCTATTTCCATAAGAAATGTCATTGATATTTTAATAGAGATTGCATTGAATCTGTAATATTGACGTTTTTACAATATTAATTAGTCCAATCCATAATCGCAGAATATTCTTCCATTTATTTGTGCCTTCTTCAATATCTTTCATCAATATTTTATAGTTTTCAGTGTAGAGACCTTTATCCCCATTGATTAATTTTTTTCTTAAACATTTTATTTTTTGTACCTATTGATATTTCACTGTGTATAGAAATACTATGGTTTATGTACTTTAATTTTGTATTCTGCAACTTTGCTGAAATCATTTATTAGTTTGAATAGTTTTTCACTGGAGTCACTTGGGTTTCCTACATATAAGACTATACTTTCTGCAAACATGGACAGTTTAACTTCTACTTTTCCAATTTGAATGAATTTTTTTTTTTTTTTCTGGTCTAGTTTCTCTGGTTAGGGATATTACTGTGTTGAAAAAGAAGTGATGAAAGTGGGGATCCTTTCCAAGTCTTATAGGGAAAGCCTTCAACTTTTTGCCATTGAGTATGATGTAAACTACAGATTAGTCATATATGGTCTTTATTATCTTAAGGTGTGTTCCTTGTAATCCTAGTGTGTTTGGAGTTATTTTGAATTTTGTCAAATGCTTTTTCTGCACCAACTGAAATTATCATATGGTCTTTGTCCTACATTTTGTTAATGAGATTTATCATGTTTATCAATTTGCATATATTGAAACATACTTGCATGCCTGGGATGAATCCAACTTAATCGTGGTGACTAATATTTTTAATGTGCTGTTAAATTCACTTTGCTAGTATTTTATTGGGGATTTTTGCATCTATGCATATTAGAGATATTTGCCTGTAGTTTTCTTTTTCTGTGCTCTTCTCTGATTTTGGTATTATGGTAATGCTGACCTTGTAGAGTGATTCTGGAAATACTCTCTCATCTTTACGTTTTTGGAATAATTTGAGATAGAATTGGTAGTAGCTGTTTACATTATTTTATTTTATTTTTTATTAAGATAAGGCCTTGCCCTGTCACCCAGGCTGGAATGCAGTAGTGCTATCATGGTTCACTGTAGCCTTGAACTCAGCTTAAGTGACACTCTCATCAGCCTCCTAAATAGCTAGCACTACAGGCACACACCACGATAACTGGTAAATTATTATTATTATTTTTTGTAGAGACAGGGTCTTGCTATGTTGCCCAGGCTGATCTCAAACTCCTGGTCTCAAGCAATCCTCCTGCCTTGGCCTCCCAATAGTCTAGGACTACAGGCTTGAGCCATCGTGTGTGGCTAGTTCTTCCTTATATGTTTGGTAGAATTCAGCAGTAAAGTCATGAGGTCCTGGGCTTTTCTCTGATAGTAAACCTTTTATTACTGATTCAGTCTCAAACTTATTATTGGTTTGTTGAAATTTTTTGTTACTTTATGATTCAACCTTCGTAGGTTGTATGAGTACAGGAATTTATCCAATTTGTTGGTGTATAATTGTTCACAATAGTTATTTTATATTTCTGTGGTATCAGTTGTAATATCTCCTTTTTCATCTCTGGTTTTGTTTATTTGAGTTTTCTCTCTTTTTTCCTTAGTGTGGATAATGGTTTGTTGATTTTGTTTACCTTTTCATAATACCAATTATACATTTTGTTGATCTTTTGTGCTCTTTTATTTTTTATTTATTTCTTCTATGATTTTTTAATTCTTTTTCTAATGAATGTATTTATTAGGCTTATATTTAAAAGATCATATAAGTTTTATCTGAAACACTGGTTTAGTATCTGCAAAGTTTGATTAGTGGTTTGGGAGTTGTTTACATACTGAAAAACAAGTTTAAAAAATAGAAAGATATAACATAATTTATATCATAAGCAATAAAATGAGATCCTTAAAAAGTATTGAAATTATGGAATGCTTATCAGAAAGGCAGGGGAAAGACTTTCCCACTGTTCTCAATCCTCTTCTTTTTGCGGGGGTTTAATTCATTCTTGTTTTTATAGTTTTCTGAAGTGCACAGTCACATTGCTTATTTGAGATATTTCCTTTTTTTGAAGCAATTGTATATTGCTCTTAGAATTGCTTTTGATGTATCCCATAGGATTTGGTATGCTGTTTCGAATTTCACTTTTCTCAAGAAATTTTTATTCTCAGTAAACTATCGCAAGAACAATAAACCAAACACCGCATATTCTCACTCATAGGTGGGAATTGAACAATGAGATCACATGGACACAGGAAGGGGAATATCACACTCTGGGGACTGTGGTGGGGTCGGGGGAGGGGGGAGGGATAGCATTGGGAGATATACCTAATGCTAGATGACACGTTAGTGGGTGCAGCGCACCAGCATGGCACATGTATACATATGTAACTAACCTGCACAATGTGCACATGTACCCTAAAACTTAAAGTATAATAATAATAAAAAAAAAGAAAAAAAAGAAAAAAAAAAAAGAAACTACCATCAGAGTGAACAAAAAAAAAAAAAAAGAAATTTTTAAAATGTCATCAAATTTCTTAATTAAACTTTTGGTTATTAATGAGCATTTTTACAAATTTTCATGTATTTGTAGAAGTTTTGAAGTTTCTTCTATTACTGATTTCTAGTGTTATGTCACTGTGGTAAGAAAAAATTTGATATAATTTCAATCTCTTAAATAGGTTAGGACTTGTTTTGTGGCATAATATATGATCTATCCTAGGGAATGTTCCATATGCAGTTGAGAAGGTTGTATATTCTGCAGCTGTTTATTGTATAAATTTCATTTAGGTCCATTTGGATTCGAATGCTGATTAAAAACAATGTTTCTTTGTTGGTTTTCTGTGTGGACGATCAGTCAGTTTCTGTAAGTGAGACGTTGATGTCCCCTACTAGTATTGTGTTGCAGTCAATCTCTCCCTTAAGAACTATTAATATTTGTTTTATATATTTAAGTGCCCCAATGTTGGGTGCATATATATTTATGATTATTATATTCTCTTGCTGAATTAATCCCTTTATCATTATGTAATTACTTTTTTGTCTCTGTATGGTTTTCATTTTAAAGTCTAAGTTACCTGCTACAAGTATAGCTACTCCTCTCTTTTGGTTTCTTTTTGTGTGGAATGTCTTTTTTTATTCCTTCACTTTCAGGCTATGTTTGTCCTTACCTATTAATTCAGTTTCTTGTAAGAAGCATATAGTTGAGTCTTGTTTCTTTTTTTTTTTTTTTTTTATTATACTCTAAGTTTTAGGGTACATGTGCACATTGTGCAGGTTAGTTACATATGTATACATGTGCCATGCTGGTGCGCTGCACCCACTAACGTGTCATCTAGCATTAGGTATATCTCCCAATGCTATCCCTCCCCCCTCCCCCGACCCCATCACAGTCCCCAGAGTGTGATATTCCCCTTCCTGTGTCCATGTGATCTCATTGTTCAATTCCCACCTATGAGTGAGAATATGCGGTGTTTGGTTTTTTGTTCTTGCGATAGTTTACTGAGAATGATGGTTTCCAATTTCATCCATGTCCCTACAAAGGACATGAACTCATCATTTTTTATGGCTGCATAGTATTCCATGGTGTATATGTGCCACATTTTCTTAATCCAGTCTATCATTGTTGGACATTTGGGTTGGTTCCAAGTCTTTGCTATTGTGAATAGTGCCGCAATAAACATACGTGTGCATGTGTCTTTATAGCAGCATGATTTATAGTCCTTTGGGTATATACCCAGTAATGGGATGGCTGGGTCAAATGGTATTTCTAGTTCTAGATCCCTGAGGAATTGCCACACTGACTTCCACAAGGGTTGAACTAGTTTACAGTCCCACCAACAGTGTAAAAGTGTTCCTATTTCTCCGCATCCTCTCCAGCACCTGTTGTTTCCTGACTTTTTAATGATTGCCATTCTAACTGGTGTGAGATGATATCTCATAGTGGTTTTGATTTGCATTTCTCTGATGGCCAGTGATGATGAGCATTTCTTCATGTGTTTTTTGGCTGCATAAATGTCTTCTTTTGAGAAGTGTCTGTTCATGTCCTTTGCCCACTTTTTGATGGGGTTTTTTGTTTTTTTCTTGTAAATTTGTTTGAGTTCATTGTAGATTCTGGATATTAGCCCTTTGTCAGAAGAGTAGGTTGCGAAAATTTTCTCCCATGTTGTAGGTTGCCTGTTCACTCTGATGGTAGTTTCTTTTGCTGTGCAGAAGCTCTTTAGTTTAATTAGATCCCATTTGTCAATTTTGTCTTTTGTTGCCATTGCTTTTGGTGTTTTGGACATGAAGTCCTTGCCCACGCCTATGTCCTGAATGGTAATGCCTAGGTTTTCTTCTAGGGTTTTTATGGTTTTAGGTTTAACGTTTAAATCTTTAATCCATCTTGAATTGATTTTTGTATAAGGTGTAAGGAAGGGATCCAGTTTCAGCTTTCTACATATGGCTAGCCAGTTTTCCCAGCACCATTTATTAAATAGGGAATCCTTTCCCCATTGCTTGTTTTTCTCAGGTTTGTCAAAGATCAGATAGTTGTAGATATGCGGCATTATTTCTGAGGGCTCTGTTCTGTTCCATTGATCTATATCTCTGTTTTGGTACCAGTACCATGCTGTTTTGGTTACTGTAGCCTTGTAGTATAGTTTGAAGTCAGGTAGTGTGATGCCTCCAGCTTTGTTCTTTTGGCTTAGGATTGACTTGGCAATGCGGGCTCTTTTTTGGTTCCATATGAACTTTAAAGTAGTTTTTTCCAATTCTGTGAAGAAAGTCATTGGTAGCTTGATGGGGATGGCATTGAATCTGTAAATGACCTTGGGCAGTATGGCCATTTTCACGATATTGATTCTTCCTACCCATGAGCATGGAATGTTCTTCCATTTGTTTGTGTCCTCTTTTATTTCCTTGAGCAGTGGTTTGCAGTTCTCCTTGAAGAGGTCCTTCACATCCCTTGTAAGTTGGATTCCTAGGTATTTTATTCTCTTTGAAGCAATTGTGAATGGGAGTTCACCCATGATTTGGCTCTCTGTTTGTCTGTTGTTGGTGTATAAGAATGCTTGTGATTTTTGTACATTGATTTTGTATCCTGAGACTTTGCTGAAGTTGCTTATCAGCTTAAGGAGATTTTGGGCTGAGACGATGGGGTTTTCTAGATAAACAATCATGTCGTCTGCAAACAGGGACAATTTGACTTCCTCTTTTCCTAATTGAATACCCTTTATTTCCTTCTCCTGCCTGATTGCCCTGGCCAGAACTTCCAACACTATGTTGAATAGGAGCGGTGAGAGAGGGCATCCCTGTCTTGTGCCAGTTTTCAAAGGGAATGCTTCCAGTTTTTGCCCATTCAGTATGATATTGGCTGTGGGTTTGTCATAGATAGCTCTTATTATTTTGAAATACGTCCCATCAATACCTAATTTATTGAGAGTTTTTAGCATGAAGGGTTGTTGAATTTTGTCAAAGGCTTTTTCTGCATCTATTGAGATAATCATGTGGTTTTTGTCTTTGGCTCTGTTTATATGCTGGATTACATTTATTGATTTGCGTATATTGAACCAGCCTTGCATCCCAGGGATGAAGCCCACTTGATCATGGTGGATAAGCTTTTTGATGTGCTGCTGGATTCGGTTTGCCAGTATTTTATTGAGGATTTTTGCATCAATGTTCATCAAGGATATTGGTCTAAAATTCTCTTTTTTGGTTGTGTCTCTGCCCGGCTTTGGTATCAGAATGATGCTGGCCTCATAAAATGAGTTAGGGAGGATTCCCTCTTTTTCTATTGATTGGAATAGTTTCAGAAGGAATGGTACCAGTTCCTCCTTGTACCTCTGGTAGAATTCGGCTGTGAATCCATCTGGTCCTGGACTCTTTTTGGTTGGTAAACTATTGATTATTGCCACAATTTCAGAGCCTGTTATTGGTCTATTCAGAGATTCAACTTCTTCCTGGTTTAGTCTTGGGAGAGTGTATGTGTCGAGGAATTTATCCATTTCTTCTAGATTTTCTAGTTTATTTGCGTAGAGGTGTTTGTAGTATTCTCTGATGGTAGTTTGTATTTCTGTGGGATCGGTGGTGATATCCCCTTTATCATTTTTTATTGTGTCTATTTGATTCTTCTCTCTTTTTTTCTTTATTAGTCTTGCTAGCGGTCTATCAATTTTGTTGATCCTTTCAAAAAACCAGCTCCTGGATTCATTGATTTTTTGAAGGGTTTTTTGTGTCTCTATTTCCTTCAGTTCTGCTCTGATTTTAGTTATTTGTTGCCTTCTGCTAGCTTTTGAATGTGTTTGCTCTTGCTTTTCTAGTTCTTTTAATTGTGATGTTAGGGTGTCAATTTTGGATCTTTCCTGCTTTCTCTTTGTTTCTTTATTTATTTAGCCACTCTATATCTTTTAAGTGGAGAATTTAATCAATTTATATTCAAGGACATTATTGAAGGGTAAGGACATATTACTGCTATTTTAAAAATTGTTTTCTAGTTTTCTTATGGATCATTTCTTCCTTTCTTCATCTCTTATTGTCTTTCTTTGTAGTTAAGCGATTTCCTCTAGTAGTTTATTTTGATTTCTTGCTTTTTATTTTAGCATATTTATTACAAGATTTTGCTTCATTGTTACCATGAGGCTTATAAAAAACATCTTACAGATATACCAGGTCATTTTAAGCTGTAAACAATATTACTTTGATCACATTAATAAAAAGTTTCTATATTTTAATCCCTCCCCCAGCTTGAATCTTTGACATCATAATTTATGTCTGTTTATACTGCATATATTTTAACAAATTATTGTAATTATTATTTTTAACAGTTTCGTCTTTTTACTTACATACTTATGATATGTGATTCACTCACCATTGTTTCAGTTTTAGAGTATTCTTGTCTATGTATATTCTTTTACCAGCGAATTTTATACTTTCAAATGATTTCAGGTTACTCATTAATGTATTTTACTTTCAGTTTGAAGAACTTCCTTTAGTATCTACCTTTTATGTCTTTTTTTCTTCAACTTTTATTTTAAGTTCTGGGGTACGTGTGCAGGATGTGTAGGTTTGGTACATAGGAAAACGTGTGCTATGTTGTTTTGCTGCACAGATCATTCCATCGCCTAGGTATTAAGCCTGACATTCATTAGCTGTTCTTCCTGATCCTCTCCATCCTCCATGACCCCCAACAACAGGCCCCAGTGTATGTTGTTCCCACCATATGTCCATGTGTTCTTATCATTCAGCTCCCACTTATAAGTGAGAACATGCAGTGTTTGGTTTTCTCTTCCTGCATTAGTTTGAGGAGCATAATGGCTTCCAACTCCATCCATGTCCCTGAAAAGGACATGTTTTTTTTCTTTTTGTGGCTACATAGTATTCCATGGTGCATATGTAGCACATTTTCTTTATCCAGTCTATCATTGATGGGGATTTAGGTTGATTCCATGTCTTTGCTATTGTGAATAGTGCTGCAATGAACATACACATGCATGTATCCTTATGATAGAAGGATTTATATTCCTTCGGGTATGTCCCCAGTAATGGAGTTGCTGGGTCAAATGGTATTCCTGGTTTTAGGTCTTTGGGGAATTGCCACGCTGTCTTCCACATGGTTGAAATAATTTACGCTCCCACCACAGTATAAAAGGGTTCCTTTTCCTTCACAAGCTTGCCAGAACCTTTTTTTTTTTCACTTTTTAATAATTGCCATTCTGACTGGCATGAGATGGTATCTAATTGTGGTTTTGATTTGCATTTCTCTATTGATCAGAGACGTTGAGCTTTTAAAAATATGTTTGTTGGCCATATGTATGTCTTCTTTGATAAGTGTCTTTTCATGTCCTTTGCCAACTTTTTCATGGGGTTGTTTTTTTCTTGTAAATAATTTGTTTAAGTTTCTTGTAGACTCTGGATATTAGACCTTTGTCAAGTGGATAGATTGCAAACATTTTCTCTCATTCTGTAGATTGTCTGTTCACTCATGATAGTTTCTCTTGCTTTGCAGAAGCTCTTTAGTTTAATTAGATCCAATTTGTCAAATTTCCTTTCATTGCAATTGCTTTTGGTGTTTTTGTTATGAAATCTTTGCCCGTGCCTATGTTGTGAATATTATTGCCTAGATTTTCTTCTAGGGTTTTAGGTTTTACATTTGAGTCTTTAATCCATCTTGAATTAATTTTTGTATATGGTATAAGGAAGGGGCCTGGTTTCAATTTTCTGCAAATGGCTAGCCAGTTACTCCAGCACCACTTATTAAATAGGTAATTCTTTCCCCATTGCTTATTTTTGTCAGGTTTGTTGAAGATTAGATGGTTGTAGGTGTGCCATCTTATTTCTGAGTTCTCTATTCTGTTCCATTGGTCTATGTGTCATTTCTTGTACTAGTGCCAGGCTGTTTTGGTTGCTGTAGGCTTGTAGCATAGTTTGAAGTCAGGTAGCATGATATCTCCAGCTTAGTTCTTTTGGTTTAGGATTGTCTGGGCTTTTTGGGCTCTTTTTTGGTCCCATATGAGTTTTAAAAGTTTTTTTCTAATTCTGTGAAGAATGTCAATGATAGTTTAATGAAAATAGATTTGAATCTATAAGTTACTTTGGGCAGTTTGGCCATTTTCACAATATTGATTCTTCCTATCAATGAAGATGGAAGGTTTTTCCATTTGTTTGTGTCATCTCTGATTTTTTTGAGCCGTGGTTTGTAGTTCTTTTTAAAGAGGTTCTTCACTAGGATCATGTCATCTGCATACAAAGATAATTTAGTTCCCCTCTTCCTGTTGGGATGCTCTTTATTTCTTTCTCTTGCCTGTTTGATCTGTCCGGAACTTCCAATACTATGTTCAATAAAAGTGGTGAGAGAGGACATTCTTGTCTTGTACCGGTTGTAAGGGGAATGCTTTCAGCTTTTGCTTATATATATGTTATAGATGGCTCTTATTATTTTGAGGTATGTTCCTTCATTATATAGTTTATTTAGAGTTTTTAACATAAAGGGATGTTGAATTTTATCAAAAGTGTTTTCTGCATCTATTGAGACAACTATGTGGTTTTGTCTTTAGTTCTGTTTATGTGACAAATAACATTTATTGATTTGCATATGTGAAACTAGCTTTGCATCCCAGAGATAAAGCCTACTTGATTATGGTGGATAAGCTTTTTGATGTGCAGCTGCATTTGGTTTGCCAGTATTTTATTAAGAATTTTTGCATCAATGTTCATCAAGTATATTGACTTGAGTATTATATTTTATTGTATTTCTGCCAGGTTTTGGTATCAAGATGATTCTGGCCTGATAGAATGAGTTAGGGAGGAGTCCTTCGTTTTCAATTTTTTGGAATAGTTTCAGTAGAAATGGTGCTAGCTCTTCTTTGTACCTCTGGTAGTATTTGGCTGTGAATCTTTCTGGTTCTGGGCCTTTTTTGGTTGGTAGGCTAGTTATTACTGCCTCAATTTCAGAACTCGTTATTTGTCTATGCAGTGATTCATTTTCTTCCTGGTACATTTTTAGGAGGGTGTATGTGTTCAGAAATTTATTCATTTCATCTACATTTTCTAGTTTATGTGCATAGAGATGTTTATAGTATTCTGTGATGGTTGTTTGCATTTCTATGGAGTCAGTGGTGATCCCCTTTATCATTTCTGATTGTGTTTGCTTCTTCTCTCTTTTTTCTTTATTAGTCTAGCTAGTGGTATATCTATTTTATTAATTTTTTAAAAAATCAGCTTCTAGATTCATTGATTTTTTTGAAGGGCTTTTTGTGTCTCTATATCCTTCAGTTCAGCTCCGATCTTGGTTATTTCTTGTCTTCTGCTAGCTTTTGGGTCTGTTTGCTCTAGTTCTCTAGTTCTTTTAGTTGTGATGTTAGGTTGTTAACTTGAGATCTTTCTAGCTTTTTGATGTGGGCATTTAGTGCTATAAATTTCCCTCTTAACACTTTTTTAGCTGCATCCCAGAGATTCTGGTATGTTGCCTGTTTGTTCTCATTAGTTTCAAAGAACTTCTTGATTTCTGCCTTAATTTCATTATTTACCCCAGAGTCATTCAGGAGCAGGTTGTTCAATTTCCATGTATTTGTGTGGTTTTGAGTGAATTCTTTAATCTTGAGTTCTAATTTGATTGTGCTGTGGTCTGAAAGACTGTTATGATCCCAGTTTATTTGCATTTGCTCAGGAGTGTTTTACTTTAGATTATGTAATCATATTTAGATTAAGTGCCATGAGGCAATTAGAAGAATACTGTATATTTTGCTGTTTTCGGGTGGAGAGTTCTGTCGATATCAGATCCACTTCATCCAGAGCTGAGTTTAGGCCCTGAATATCTTTGTTAATTTTCTGTCTCATTGGTCTATCTTATATTGTCAGTGAGGTTTTAACTTCTTCCACTATTATTGTGAGGGAGTATAAGTTTTTTTGTAGGTCTCTAAGAACTTGCTTTATGAATCTGGGTACTCATGTATTGGTTGCATATATATTTAGGGTAGTTAGCTCTTCTTGCTGAATTGAACCTTTTACCATTAGGTAATGTCCCTGTTTGTCTTTTTTTTATCTTTGTTGGTTTAAAGTCTGTTTTCTAAGAAACTATGATTGTAACCCCTGTTTTTTTCTGTTTTTCATTTGCTTGGTAAATTTTTTTATTTCTTTATTTTGAGCCTGTGTGTGTCTTTGCAGGTGAGATGGGTATCTTGAAGATAGCATACCAGTGGGTCTTGGTTCTTTATCCAGCTTGCTGCTCTGTGTTTTTTAACTGGGACAATTAGCTCATGTACCTTTACAGTTAGTATTGTTATGTGTGAATTTGAAACTTGTTTATGTAATTGCTTCATAGTGTCACTTGTCTGTGTACAGCAGTGTGTTTCTGTAGTGGCTGGTAATGGTTTTTCTTTCCCATATTTAGTGCTTCCTTCAGGATCTCTTGCAAAGCAGGCCTGGTGGTGATGAATTCTTTCAGAATTTGCTTATCTGAAAAGCAGCTTTTTTCTCCTTTGCTTATGAAGCTTAGTTTGGCTAGATATGAAATTCTGGGTTAGAAATTTTTTCTTTAAAAATTTGAATAGTGGCCCCCAATCTCTTCTGGCTTGTAGGATATCCGCTGAGAGGTCTGCCGTTATTCTGGTGGGCTTCTAATTTTAGGTGACCTGAACTTTCTCCCTGGCTGTCATTAACACTTTTTCTTTCATTTTGACCTCAGAGAATCTGAGGATTATGTGTCTTGGGGTGGACCTTATCATGGAGTATCTTCCTGGGTTTCCCACAGTTCCTGAATTTTAATGTTAGCCTTTCTTGCTATGTTGGGGAAGTTCTTCTGGATGATATTCTGGAGTATGTTTTCCAATTTGCTTCCATTCTCCCCATCTCTTTCAGGTACCCCAATCAGTCATAGGTTTGGTTTCATTACACAATCCCATGTTTCTCAAAGGTTTTGTCATTTCTTGTCATTCTTTATTTCGTATTCTTGTCTGACTGTCTTATTTCAGAAAGATAGTCTTCAAGTTCTGAGATTCTTTCCTCCATCTCTTTTGCTATTGGTACTTGTGATTGCATTGTGAAATTCTTGTTGTCTGCTTTTTAGCTCTATCAGGGCCGGTTATATTCTTCTCTAAACTGGCTGTTCTGGCTATCAGCTCCTGTATTATTTGTCATGATTCTTAGCTTTTTTGCAATGGGTTACAACATGCTCCTTTAGCGCGGTGAAGTTTGTTATTATCCACCTTCTAAAGCCTACTTCTGTGTATTCAGTCATCTCAGCCTCAGCCCACTTCTGTGCCCTTGCTGGACAGGTGTTACAGTCATTTGAAGGAGAAGAGGCACTCTGGTTTTTTTGAATTTTCAGCATTTTTGTGTTGATCATTTCTCATCTTTGTGGGCTTATCTACCTTCAATCTTTTAGTTTTCTGAACTTTGAATGGGGTTTTATGGGGACATTTTTGTTGTTGTTGTTGTTTTCTGTTTGTTTGTTTTTCTTTTAGCAGTCAGACCACTCTTCTGTAGGGCTGCTGTGGTTTGCTGGGGGTGCACTTGAGACCCCAGTTGCCTCATTTTTTTCCTGTACCTGGAGGTGACACCAGTGAAGGCTGTGAAAGAGCAAAGATGGCAACCTGTTCCTTCCTTTGGAAGCTTTGTACCAGGGCAGTATTGACCTGTTGCCAGCCTGAATGCACTTGTAGGAGGTGCCTGGAGACCCATTTTTGGAGGTCTCACCCAGTCAGCCGGAATGGGATCAGGGACCTGCTTAAGGAAGCAGTCTGGCAATTTTTTGGTAGAGCAGGTGTGCTATGTTGTGTTGGGAGGATTCTTTCTCTTCTGGACCATTTGGACTCTTCCAAAGCTCGCAAAATAGAACAGCTGAGTTCACAGAACTGCAGCGATGGTGACCGTCCCTCCCCCCGAAACTCTGTCCCAGGGAGAGATCAGAGCTCTGTTCATATAATCCTTGCTGGAGTGGTTGAAGCCCCCTCAGAGGGTCCCAGACCAGTGAAGAGGAATAGATTGGGGTCCCATTTAAAGAAGCAGTCTGGCCACAATCTGGCAAAGCAGCTGCGCTGCATTGTGTGGGAACCTCCCTCCTCCAGACCATTTGGATTCTGTAAAGCCAGCAGGCTGGAATGTATGCGTTTACTGAACCACAGAGAGGGTGGCCACCCCTTTCCCTGGGAACTTGGTCCCGTCTCAGGCAGACTCCAGCCTGCTGCCACTGGGTGGCTGGAATTCCAAGCCAGCGGATCTTAACTTTTGACGTGCTGTGGAAGTGGGGCCCACAGAACAATGCTGCTTGGCTCCCTGGATTCAGCCTCCTTTCTAGGGATATCTACAGATGGGGATCCCAGGGCCAGAGTATATTAAACTCCTGGGTGTCTGTGTATGTTTTAGTGGCTGTTCTGCTGAGACTCCACACAGCTTTTTGTGTCAGACCCAAGGCTCTGATGGCATAGGCTCATGAGGGGATCTCCTGATCTGCAGGTTGCAAAGATCCTTGGGAGAAGCATGGTTTCCCTGGCAGGGTAGCACAATCACTCACCACTTCCTTGGCTGGGGCTGGCAGTTCCTTTGGCTCCATGCCACTCGTGGTTGGGCCTTCACCCCACCCTGCTTTTCTTTGTTCTTCATGGGTGAAGTTGTTTGCCTAGTGAGTTTCAGTGTGAGAACCTGGATATTTCAGTTGAAGATGCTGAATTCACTTGCCCCTTTCATTTTTCTCTGAGTGCTGTGGACTGCAGCTGCTTCTAATCAGCCATCTTGGCCCCAGGCCTTCTGTTGTTTTAACTGAACATTTTTTTATCATTCTCTTTCCTGTTTTCTTAACATATCAATTATAATTTTTAATTATTCTTTAGTGATTATAGTAGAGTTAGACATATACATTTAAAACTAATCCAAGTCCATTTTTGAAATAACACTATATCATGTCACAGGTAGTGTTATTATCTTGCAATAACAAAATATTCCTAATTCCTTCTTTCTATCCCTTTTATCATTGCTGTCATTAATTTCACTTATAATATATATGTTTATATGTTTTAATAATCAAGTACATTGTTATTATTTTGCAAAAACTGTTATTCATTAGATCAAAGTACAGAAAATTTTTAAAAATTATTTTCATTTATTCCTTCCGTAATGTTCTTTTTTTTTATGTAGATCTGAGTTTGTGACCTATATCATTTTCTTTCTTTGTGATAAACTTCTTTATTTTTTTGTTTGCTTTTGTAAGGAAGATCTACTGGCAACAATTGCCCTCAATTTTTTTTTTTGTCTAAGAAAGTATTTCTCCTTCACTTTTAAATTTACTTTTGAAGGAGAAATTGATAGGATACATAATTCTATGTTGGTGTTTTTGTTTTTGTTTTCTCAATATGTCAAATATTCCACTCCACTCTCTTCTTACTTGCATTGTTTCTTAGGAGGAGTTTGATGTAATTTGCATCTTTGTTTTCTTGTATGTCTGATGTTTCTCTTTTTAATCTGACCTCTATCAAAATTTTTTCTTTATCTCTAATATTCTACAGTTTGACTATGACATGCCTAGTTGTAGTCAAATTTAGTTTTTATGTCATTGTCTTCTACACCTGTGGAATAGGATATGAGGGTGGGGCTAAGGAGTTGTCTCACTAACTTGATGAGAAGGAAGCCCAAGGCTTATGAAAAAAAGTAGAAGCAGTAAGAATGAGTCATCACAGCAGCCTGTGAGACTCAAGGAATTCTGTATAAGAAGGATGGATAACGGTTCTCTAAGTAACAGCTATTATAGGGACCAGAGTGTTACATAACCTATTACCTCAGGGAGACCAAGAGAAAGTAAAATGAGGTGTTACCTTTTATGAGACTAACTGTGCCTAGTTATGACTGATTTAGAGCAGCTAGACTTTAGGAGCAAAGTCACCCACATGAATCTCACCAATCAACTTAAATTATACTATTGTGTCAATTTAAATGTAGTGTGTGTATGTGTTACTAAGTACAACTTACTATGTTGAACTTTATTAATTTGCTAATTCACAAAATATTTATTGAAAACTTACATGCTAGGTTTTGTTTTAGGTCCGAGGAATGCAATAATGAATAAAGCAAAACTACACATTATAGTTGGAAATGACAGATAATGAACAAGTAAATGAAATAAATCTTTATGAAATAAGTACTATGAAGAAAAATAAAGTCAAGGGAGGAATGAGAATGAATTTGTGATGTTCTTTCAATTTTGTTGGTCAGTCCTTTCTAATAAAGTGGTACTTGAACTTGAGTAGATGCGTGGGCAAGTAATCTAAATAATGAGTGCTTTAGGTAGAGGGAACAGCCAGTACAAAGGTTCTGAAGCTGACTTTTAAGGCTTAGTCTGGCAAGGGAATGTTGAAAGTTTTTTACTCATGTGTATTTGCTTGGGGGTTGACAGATCTCTAAAGGAGATAGTCCCTGGGAATATTTACGTCACATGAATGAAATATGAAACAATACAGTGGTCAAGTTTAAATACAATACCGCACTTCATTTAGTGACTGTATTTTAGTCAATTCTAGATTGTTTTGGGAAATCTGATTGAGAAGAAACATGAAGGCAAATTTTGCTTTTAGACCAACTTTCTTACTCATTGCTCTTTTTATCTTCTCTGAGTCTAAACTTGGAATTGAATCATCCAATCTCTTTTACTTCTAGGAAAATTTTATAGTTCATACTCTTTTGCATCATATTTTTCATGGTAAAAGTTTCCAATAAAAAGGCAAATGTTGGCAAAAACCTCAAGTCAAAAGTCATTCTTCAATTTGACATTCATGATAGGAATTGTGTCCTAGATGAAGACCCTGTTAGTAATGTGAAAAGGTAACACGCTATCTGGAAATTAAAGCTGCTTCCCCAGTGTCAGGGGCTGATAAAATGTGATTAATGAAGGGGATAATGGACTTAAGAAATATAACAAAAGAGAACACTTGTCTTGGATGAGGCCTGTTTTTTGATGCATGCTAAGGGATACAATATTATCCATAATGGGACTTAATACTAAGTCATTACATGACTTCAAATAGTGATGATGTGGTCATGAAATAACACAGCATTTTTGTTCTCATTAAACACTCAATTTGTGTAAATAAGACATTATCATAGTGGGCTATGAAAATTGGTTTTATGTTCAAATATGTACCAAATAATTTATAATGAAAAGTGCCAGATGTAGAATAAAAGGAAAAATTTATAAATATTCTTTGAGGATAAGTGTTAAATCAATTTGGGGAAGAATTGATCATGCAGAGGCATTACTTATGATTTAAGAGCTTAAGTTGAACAATGAGAACACATGGACACAGGGAAGGGAATATCACATACTGTGGCCTGTCAGGGGGTGGAGGCTAGGGGAGGGATAGCATTAGGAGAAATACCTAATGTAGGTGACGAGTTGATAGGTGCAGCAAACCACCAGGGCACGTGTATACCCATGTAACAAAACTGCACGCTCTGCACATGTACCCCAGAACTTAAAGTATAATAAAAAACTTATTAAATTTTAAAGAAAAAATAGAGATTAAACTATTTTAAACTAAAAACAAAAGAAGTGTTTTTAACAACAAATAATTTGTTTCAAGCTATGTAAACATTCTGAATATAAACATTTTCTTTCCACCTCAGACATGAAAAAATAGCATTCTATTTTGCTCTTCTATTGTTTTATATCACATTTTTTAAACCTATGACAAACTAGTTTCCATGTTAAGCCTAAGTTGTGCATTGGGACAGATATTTATAGAAGCTGCATGAACAGTTGAAGACCATTAGAAGGCTCCTGGATGCTTCTCAAAAGCAATTTATAAAAGGGTTAATTATACTTTTGCAAGAACTTTGTTGCTTTAAAATGGTATCAGACAGAATCCTTTCAGTTATTTAAACACAACCTTTGCGCACCCAGTTTGTACCTGGAACCATGTTTTAGGCTTTATCTGTTTGCTCATTTGAATGCTTGGGGATTCAAATGTATTTTACTAACTTCTAAGTTTGTATGACAAACTAATGTAGTAAATGACCTTTAACTTAGTAAACAACCTGAAATATTAAAGGTAATTAGAATTTTCTTATTTCTTCTTTGTCACCTCTATTTTCTTAGATAATGTTTATTTTTACTTAAGGGATGAGAGGCCTGTAACTTTTCAGTTTACCAAATCTAATGGTTAGCATGGCAATAATTTTGTAATGCAAACAGCTCTAAAATGTTAGTACGTGTGCAGACTGTTGCTATTAAGTAGAGTGTTTAGCATTTCTATTCCCAAAATGAAGTTTCTTTACTCAAATTCTCTTTGATAAAGTAAAACAAATGCCATTAATGGGCTCTTGACTTTTTATAGGATTATGATTATTTTTATTATTGATTACTTATTGCTAAACTACTATAAAATTGTCCAACCAGTGATTTTCAAAATGTGTTTCCACAACTAAATTGCTAATAAAGACTTAATTTGAACATCTAGTTTGCTCCCCCATTTATATTAACAACAAAGAATTTTTTCTCCTAGTTTTATAACAAATGATATTAGTTACTTAAAAATGAAAAAGGATCAAAAGCTGAAAACCTTAGCCTGCTTTTACTTGAATAGAACATGGTAGAAATTACTGTGATTTCTTAACAAAAAGCTTAAGAGAAACATAATTATTAGATTGGAAGGTATAACAATAATTTTAGCAAATATTTTGGAAAAAATGTGGCCTCTGAAATAGAAAAGGATTTCTACATGTTATCTCAGTATAGAATCCTCTTTTATCTATATAAGAATACTACATTTCAAAATGTTATGTGTAAACAAATTATGCATGTTATGTTTAGAATATGTTTTCTCTGAACATTCACAAAAAGTGTTTCATATACTCTTATTATTAGTAGAATTAAATTCTATTGTAATAGAGATTACCTTTAAAACATATATTTGATTACACTACAGGTCAAATTTCATTTTTAGAAATATAACCAATACATACTTTGAAAGTGAATAAATATACAATTATATGCAAGATCCTTTAGTGAGAACTTATACTCTTCGATTCTAACATATATAGCATATAAAATTAGCTATTTTAAATATAAAGGTCTAAAATTTTTAGATTATGAATTATTCATTACTGGAATGTATTCTCCTTTTATGACCAACAAAACTTAGTGATCTAAAAGACTATAAATTTTTTCAAGAAATCACAACAAGGGAAATAGCCTATATTTGGCAGTAGGTAGTACATTAAGCAAGGAAACTTACAAGTGGGACTAGAATAGTGTCACAATCTGAAAAACTGTATTCAAATTAGTAATTTTCAAGAAATTCATATGTAAAATTAAAAAAAAGTGAGACCCATGATGTTAACAAGACCCTTATTGCCTATTCCCAATACAATGATGTGTATAATTGCTAACATAATTGTAACGTGGCCTCATTATTGCTTGCCTTGCACAAATTGATAGAGACTGACTCTTTACAAGTCTAGCTCAACGTAAAACCTATTTTTAACTTTGTGAAATAACAAACAATAAACCCACCGAAATGCTTCAAGCAGTTATATATTAACACTTAATTAAATGGCCTCACACTGTACCTATTTATGTTTTAAAAACCCATGAATTCCAGTGTAGTCTTTTAGTAACCTCCCTTTCCTTGAATGACTTGATAATGTGTGAGGAATAATTTGTGCATGTTCATCATTATATACCACCCAATTCAGAATACAAGAATTCAAGTGTTTGAGAGAAGCGCTTGTTAGCATATATTGATTAAGAAATCATAATTATTTAATTATTCTTTAGTGAATAAATTCTGAATGCTGTTAACTTATGTGTAATGTTCAACAAAATAGGATCAGTATACAAACCTTATATCCACAGACTGTTGTATTGGGGGGTGGATTCTCATTCTGACTCTACCACCAACGTTTGGAAGAAGAAGAATGTTATGTAAATAAAAGTGTGGCAGAAAGAGATTTTTTTCTTTATTTACTTATGGCTAGAAAAGCTTAATGATGTTTTAGAAGTGATATTACACCTCAGAAAAGGGGTAATGCATCTTTAAAAGCTAAACTACACCTTCTTTACTTTTATCAAATTCTCTATAAATCTTTCAGACAGTTTATTTAACAAAGTGTCATTGAAACTGTATAGATGATTGATATGACCCATGTAAAATCAACATGAAATGTTTGTAAATGTCAGCAAAATGTGACCATCTAAAAGCATATAAAAATGGAGGTTCTGTGAAAGCAAAAAACAAACAGAAAAATGTTTATCTTATTCTTTGCTTTCTGATATGCTATTACAAATTCATAGAAGTATTGTGCTTTATTTTTTTGAAGTTCGTATCATCACAGGCCTAATTTGCTTTTGACATCTACTTTTTCAAAGCTTTGGTGTCTTATTCATTGGGTATATTTTCTCTGTTACCTGTGGAAAAAATATTATAGGCTCAGAACTTCTTAGCAAGAAGATAATTGTTTTGGAATGTATCAGCAGAACCTTGACCTGAAACTTTATGCACAAATTAAAGGAGACTATCAACAGAGAAATGTCACTGAAGGGTTACCATCTACACTTGGATACAGAAAACCGTTGTTGGTTTTTTATTTACTTGAAAACCTTAATGATAAAAAACATGTGCTATAAGATACAGAATAAAAGAGAAGGATGAAATAACAGATTCAACTACAAATATCATATAAGAACAACACCTTATTGCTCACTCTGAACTGAAGAGTTTCTTTATATTTCTCTTTGATGCATTTTTATATAAAACAAATATTATTGTTAGGCTAGAGCACATTCCTTCCTTGGGAATTACGTTGTACAAAGCAGAATGCATACAGTGAAATAAATGCAAATGATGATGGGAAATTAATAGTAGATAATAAAAAGCTAAAATTTGAAAATCTGTAGGTACTAGTAAAGTTTCCCTATTGAAATGAGGAAAATTTTACAGTTGGCAGGGGCAAGAGGTCTTGTACATACATTGTTCATCTAATTACACATTCTTCATTCCTTTTTGCAAATAATTGCAGGAGTCCACAATTACTGTGGAGAATTGCAGAATACCTAATCATCAATACAGGCTGTTTTCTATCACAATGATTATATATATCTTTGCATAATATATATTTGGTGTTTGGATGCCCTGCTCATTCTTCAGAGCAGGTAGGAATGCTTGGTAATGGTACAACAAAACCATGACTAATTGGAAAACAACTATTTTAGATCCTCAAGTATACAAATTTCTCTCAGGAGTTATACCTACCTTTGAGGAAGTCATGGCAAGATAAAACAATACAAGAAGCATCTTGGGATCAGTGCACATTTCTTTCCATTTTCTTTGCTGTCTGCATCTCTAGAATGGCACAATGATTAGTTATGTTCACAGTTATGACACTAAGTTATAGCAAGGTCTCTGGTCCTGTGATAAAGATCCTATTTTATTTATAAACTTATATTTATAAAAGTAGGAAATAGTTCTGACATATTTTGTAAAAATATTAAACCACAGGGCTTTGAGCATAATATAAATTGAAATTTTGGAACAGATTCTGATTGCAAAGCACTACGATAGAAACTAACCATAATATTCAATTCCATGAACATTCCTGTTAATTATTGTACTTTGAGAAAGAGGTTAGCTATTTTTCAACCTATTATGTATGTATTATTATATTTTCTTGTATAAGATGATATTGAAAAAACTGTACTAAAATCATGAGAATATATGTAGGCACAGATTTAGTTTCTGCTTGTCCATTGATTAATCTAGTAGGAGAAATAATTCATAAGTTTATATATTGATTATTCAAATAAAAAGTAAGACGTGTAAATGCCTTAAGATAGGTGTAGAACATCTACAACCACCTGATTTTCAACAAACCTGACAAAAACAAGCAATGGGGAAAGGATTCCCTATTTAATAAATGGTGCTGGAAAAAGTGACTAGCCGTATGAAGAAAACTGAAACTGGACCCCTTCCTTACACCTTATACAAAAATTAACTCAAGATGGGTTAAAGACTTAAACGAAAAACCCCAAATCATAAAAACCCTAGAAGAAAACCTGGGCAATACCATTCAGGACACAGGCATGGGCAAAGACTTCATGACTAAAACACCAAAAGCAATAATAACAAAAGCCAAAATTGACAAATAGGATCTAGTCAAACTAAAGAGCTTCTGCACAGCAAAAGAGACTATCATTAGAATGAACAGGCAACCTACAGAATGGGAGAAAATTTTTGCAATCTTTCCATGTGACAAAGGTTTAATATCCAGAATCTACAAGGAACTTAAACAAATTTACAAGAAAAAAATAACTCCATCAAAAAGTGGGCAAAGGGTATAAACAGACCCTTCTCAAAAGAAGACAATTATGCGGCCAACAAACACGAAAAAAAACTTATCATCACTGGCTGTTAGAAAAATGCAAATCAAAACCACAATGAGATACCATCTCACGCCAGTTAGAATGGCAATCATTAAAAAGTCAAGAAACAACAGATGCTGGAGAGGATGTGGAGAAATGGGAATGCTTTTACACTGTTGGTGGGAGTGTAAATTAGTTCAACCATTGTAGAAGACAGTGTGGCAGCTCCTCAAGGATCTAAAACCAGAGATACCACTTGACCCAGTAATCCCATTACTGGGTATATACTCAAAGGATTATAAATCATTCTACTATAAAGACACACACACACGTATGTTTATTCTGGCACTATTCACAATAGCAAAGACTTGGAACCAACCCAAATGCCCATCAATTATAGACTAGATAAAGAAAACATGGCACATATACACCATGGAATACTATGCAGCCATAAAAAGAATGAGTTCATGTCCTTTGCAGGGACATGGATGAAGCTGGAAGCCATGATTCTCAGCAAACTAACACAGGAACAGAAAACCAAACACCGCATGTTCTCACTCATAAGTGGGAGTTGAACCATGAAAACACATGGATACCGGGAAGGGAACATCACACACTAGGGCCTGTCAGGGGTTGTGGGTCAAGGGGAGGAAAAGCATTAGTACAAATACCTAATGCATGTGGGGCTTAAAACCTAGATGATGGGTTGATAGGTGCAGCAAACCACCATGGCACACGTATACCTATGTAACAAACCTGCATGTTCTGCACATGTATCCCATAACTTAAAGTAAAATAAAAAAAAATAAAAAATAAATATTCAAAAAAGATAAGTGTAGAAAAATATCTGAGGTAATAGGTATAGATATCATAAAAGGATGAGTAACTTTCAGCTGCTAAAAACAGGAAGACTTACACAGAAGAAAAATGACTGAAAGTCAGTCTCTCAATAAAAAAACACAAATCTATACTATTAAGAAAAGAACATAACTGAACTCAATATTATACATTTTTCCTAAGTACCAATTTTGTACAACTCATAATTCAAAACTAAATAATGTTAGAATTTAGTTTGCGGTTTCTCTCTGTAATAAAGTATATGAGTGACTTTTCTTTCTGCTTTTCCATGACAGTGTTTTTTAACAGTAGTTAAAATATTGAATTAAACTTGAAGTACAGTGAATCTTAAAATTCAGAGACAAATACACAAATAGCAAAGTATTTGATAATGTCATAAAATTACACTAAATTTTAATTCACAAATGGGGATTTTTGTTAAACTTGGCACTCTTCTATCCTTTCAAAACAAACAAAAAAAGAAGTAGAGACAGAGATTTACGTGAATGCTAATGTCCAAAAAACAGACGAGTTACTTTTACTTCTTTTGCAAACCCTTTGTCTTGATACAGTCTGGAATATTTGCATGTTTCCAGCAGCTTATCATTGAAAGGAGCCTGATGTGCCCACCATATCATGTTTAGATACTTGAAGTAGCCAAGACTAGAGCTTTGAACTTTTGACATTCCTAAGTAGTGGAGCTCACATCCAGATACCATAGCCTATGGCAGCTACTTAGAGGCTCTTTGGAGTAAGGGGCACCACATACAATGAAATTGAGTGGAATTTTGACAATCTGGAAAAGATGTACATATAATGTTGTGGAATATCAAGTTGATGACTCAGGTCTTCAATGTCCTACGTTGAGCCTTACTGGCTTTTAAAAGATGGCTCAGAGTATTTATTACATCAGAAAGAGATCCCTCCTTTTAATCATAGTAGAGGGTTTGCATTAATATATTTGTTTTTTAATGCTTTTTCAAAATGGATGACCTGAAGAGTCTTGTAGTTGGAATTCTCCGTATAGTAGATTACAAATATGGATAATATGTTTGTTTTGCCTATATGCCATTGATTTTCTATACCATGACTCTTCAATGTAATCATGAAAACTTTGAAAGACTCACTTTATTTTGCTATTTTTTGGCAAGAAGATTGCAGGTGTTCAAGACTATGCTATGTGATTTTTCATAGCTGTACAATCGATATGCAAACCTAACATTGTGGGTGAGATAAGTAGTGGGCTACATGTATGAATTTTTTGGATAATAAAAGTGGGAAAGGTACTGCATTAGTCCATTTTCATGCTGCTGATAAAGACATACCTGAGACTGGGGAAAAACAGGTTTAATTAGACTTATAGTTTAACATGGCTGGGGAAGCCTCAGAATCATGGTGGGAGGTAAAAGGTACTTCTTACATGGTGGCAGCAAGAGAAAATGAGAGAGATGCAAAAGTGGAAACCCCTGATAAAACCATCAGACCTTGTAAGACTTATTCAATTCACTACTATGAGAACAGTATGGGGTAAACAGCCCCCATGATTCAAGTTATCTCTGATTGAGTCCCTCCCACAACATGCAGGAACTGTGGGAGTACAATACAAGATGAGATTTGGGTGGGGACACAGAGCCAAACCCATTGGGTCCCTCCCACAACATGTAGGTATTGTGGGAGTACAATACAAGATGAGATTTGGGTGGGGACACAGAGCCAAACCATATCATTCTGCCCCTGGCCCCTCCGAATCTCAGGTCTCCCACTTCAGAACCAATCATGCTTCCCAACAGTCCCCCAAAGTCTTAACTCATTTCAGCATTAACCTAGAAGTCCACAGTCCAAAGTCTCATCTGAGAAAAAGCAAGTCCCTTCCACCTATGAGCCTGTAAAATAAAAAGTAAGCTAGTTACTTCTTAGGTACAATGGGGGTATAGGTATTGTGTAAACCTGCAGTAAACTTTTGCCTGAGTATCTAGGCATTTCCATACATCCTCTGAAATCTAGGTGGAGGTTCCCAAACCTCAATTCTTGACTTCTGTGCACTCATAGGCTCAACACCACATGGAAGCTGCCAAGCCTTGAGGCTTGCACCCTCTGAAGCCACGTCCCCAGCTCTACGTTGGCCCCTTTCAGCCACGGCTGGAGTGGCTGGAATGGAGGGCACCAAATCCCCAGGCTGCACACAGCACAGGGACCCTGGACCTGGGCAACAAAACCGCTTTTTCCTCCTAGGCCTCCAAGCCTGTGATGGGAGGCACTGCCAAGAAGGCCTCTGACATGCCATGGAGACACTTTCCCCAACGTTTTGGTGATTAAAATCCAGCTTCTCATTTGTTATACAAATTTCTGCAGCTGGATTGAATTTCTCCTCAGAAAATGAGTTTTTCTTTTCTATCACATTGTCAGGCTGCACACTTTTTGAACTTTTATGCCCTGTTTCCCTTATAAAATTGAATGCCTTTAACAGCACCCAAGTCACCTCTTGAATGCTTTGCTACTTAGAAATTTCTTCCACCAAATACCCTAAATAATCTCTCTCAAGTTCACAGTTCCACAGATATCTAGGGCAGGGGCAACATGCTGCCAGTCTCTTTCCTAAAGCATACAAGAGTCACCTTTGCTTCATTTCCCAACAAGTTTCTCATCTCTATCTGAGATCAACTCAGCCTGGACTTTATTGTTCATATCACTATCAGCTTTTTGGTCAAAGCCATTCAACAAGTCTCTAGGAAGTTCCAAACTTTTCCCCATCTTCCTGTTTTCTGAGCCCTCCAAGTCTTAGAAAGTTCCAAACTTTCCCACATTTTTCTGTATTCTTCTGAGCCCTCCAAACTGTTCCAACCTCTTCCTGTTACCTGATTCCAATGTTGCCTCCACATTTCCAGGTGGCCTTATAGCAGCACCCCACTCTCTGGGTACCAATTTACTGTATTAGTTCTTTCTCACACTGCTAATAAAGACATACCCAAGCCTGAGTAATTTATAAAGGAAAGCGGTTTAATTGACTCACAGTTCCACAGGGCTGGGGAGGCCTCAGGAAACATACAATCATGGTGGAAGGGAAAGGAAACACATTCTTCTTCCCATGGTGGCAGCAAGGAAAAGTGCAGAGCAAAGCGGGGAAAGCTTCTTGTAAAACCGTCAGATCTCATGGAACTCACTCACTGTCATGAGAAGAGCACGGAGGTAAATGGCCCCATAATTCAGTTTTCTCCCCTGGGTCCCTCCCATGATACATGGGGATTATAGGAACTACAATGCAAGATGAGATTTGGGTGGGGATGTAGCCAAACCATATCACTAACTTACCTATTGTTTCATGTTATCAGTACCAGAAGTGAGAAGAAAATTCCAATTCTTTCTGAAAATGAATGATTCAAAAGAATTACTACAGCCATCCTACATTCTATTTGGACAATATTTTAATCTAGAAATATATAGTAAATGTTGAATGGCTTTGGGTTAAGTTATCAATGCTTAGGCACTAATACAGAATATGGCAAAAAGAAAATATTATGAAATATATACAATCATTGATTTAAATTTGGTCTTACAATATTACTGGCTACAGTAATATTTTAAGTAGTCAGCTATCACTGTGGAGCTCTCCTCTTTCTTTGAATATATATGAATATATATGTGAGTGGCTTAGAAAGCTATCTCCATTTTACTCATCTTATTTATTTCTTGGTATACCATCTATCATTGGTTCTTATTCCATTTTTAGCAGACTGTATCCCACTTATTTAACTACAACAACTTCTTTTAAAGTGTTAGAAACTCTATTCATTGTTGTGTCAGTTAAAAGCCTACTGAGAGTACTTCCAATTTCTCCTTGAGTTTCATGCTAAAGATATAAACTCACTGAATTTCCAGTGAAGATATCAGTAGAATACCATTCTATATGCCGATTCCAAGTATGTTATTCCCAGAAATTTATAGGCCTACAAAACAAGGTCAGATTTGCCATCAGTGAATCTTTTCAGCATATTAAAGACTTGTATTCAAAGTTCAACAAAGCCTATTGTGGGGATGTAAATTAGTACGGCCACTATACAAAACAGTATGGAGGTTCCTCAGAAAATTAAAAACAGAACTACCATATGATCCAACAATCCCACTGCTGGCTATGTCTCCAAAGAATATGAATCAATATGTCAAAAGTACACTGCACTCCCAAGTTCATTGTAGCATTATTGACAATAGCCAAATATGGAATCAAGTTAAGTGTCTATAAGTGGATTAATGGATAAAGAAAATGTTGTATATATACACAATGTAATACTCTTTGACCATAAAAGGAATGAAATCTTGTCATTTTTAGTAATATGGATGACATTATGGAGGATATTATGTGAAATGAAATAAGCCAGGCACAGATAAACAAATATTACATGATCTCACTAATATGTGGAGTGTGAAAAAGTCAAATTCATAAAATCACGGAGTAAAATGGTGGTTACCAGAGGCTGGATGATGAGGGGATTGAGGAGATGTTGGACAAAGGACACAAAATTTTAGTTAGACAATGGAATACATTCAAGGTTTCTATTGTACGTCATGGTGACTACAGTTATCAACAATATATTGTAGATATGAAAATTTCTTAGGAAGGAGATTTTAAGTGTTCTCACCACAAAAAGGATGTGAGGTGATACATATGTTAAATAGATTGATTTAGCCATTCCCCAATGTATATTTAAAATATTACATTGTATACCATAAATATATATAAAATTTTACTTATCAAATTCTACAAGAGTCCAACAAAGCCTAAAAGACACTTATAATTTGATATTGTCTAGTATATTGGAAATTAAGGATTTGCTTCTCTATCTAGTCCACACGGTTTACAGGAAAGATAGGTATAAAGTGATAAGTATTAGTAGTTACATGAAGACATATTTTAGTGTCTTTCATTCTAACCCCCAGTCCCAAATATAACGCTGTTGGTAGAGGAGATATGACAATAAATTTATATCAAGTTAGTTGTGGAAAATGAAAGGGGAATATGTCATTACATCATTCAGTAATTACTGATTAAGGATTTGCCATGTCCCATGCATTCTACTAGGCTTTCCTAATGTGGAAATATATGTATACGTCTGTGTGTGTTTGTGTGTGTGTGTGTGTGTGTGTGTGTGTATTTTCTGAATTCTACTAGATCTGTAATAAGTGCTAATCAACAGCAAATATTTTTTTAATTCAATAAATATTTGCCATATCCAACCATCGGAATGAAAATTTAGCAATCTGTTTCTTACCTAAACTCTGTTTGTTTCTATCCTGACAGATGCTCTCAGTTAGATATTTCATTGATATTCTGCTGTGGCACTGTTAATCTTATTTTGATTGAAACAGAGTTCTGGACAGTAAAATTGATGGGTGCTTATCAGCAGAGTATCACAAAAAAGTGATAAAAAGTCTTCACGTGTAGGTCTGCATGGGGCAAGAATTATGACTTTCCTTAAACTTGTAATTTAGAAAATACTTATTGTCATTCTTTTAGCACTGTATGGATTATCAATCTATTTAAGCACTTTTAATAGCTATATTTTGATTGACATGTTTCTTGTCATTTTCAATGATTTTCTTGCCTAAGCAACATATGATAGAGTTTTACAATGGACAGGGCATTTATCTTTACTTTTAGATGATGTCTTTTCTAACATTGAAGTTGAATAGCTAGTCATGTCACATAATAATATCATCAGATCCTTGAGGATAAATCATATGTAGCATATTTATTGTGTATGTTAATTTTACGGCAGTTTCATTAGATATGGAATATAAGGAAGAAATAAATTGAAAATTAATACAATATGGAAGGATGGTATGCTTAATCTAACACACACATTAGTACACATGGACAGAGTGGAATAATGGATATTGGAGATTCCAAAAGGTGGAACAGTGACTGGGAGGTGGGTGAGGGATGAGAAATTACCTATTGGGTATAATGTATAGTATTTGGGTGATGGTTACACTAAAAGCCCAGACTTCACCACTCTGCAATGTATTCATGTATCAAAACTGCACTTGTACTCCCCAAATCTGTAAAAATAAAAGATACACATTATATGTCAAAAACAAAAGAGGTTTTTTTGCAGTGCTATAATTTAGTCATTAGTCTAGCCCTTTGCTAATGGCTAAAATAAGGATTTGACCTAAACCAAATAATAAACTAAAAACTCAGTAAACATTATTAATTTGCAAGGCTCAACCCCCGAAAATATCATTATTATTTTTATTGAACTACAAACTGAATTAAAGGTGTTTTTTAAAATTCAGTGATGCAGTTAGAACTGGAATTGAACATATATATTTTCTTTAACAATTAAACAGTTAACAATTAAACTAGAACAAAACCAGTATATCAAAATATTTTCTAATCATGTATCTCATTCAGTTCATACATTCCTAGCATAAAATATTTTATATTATCCTTCAAATATGTTTTAAAGCAAAGTTAGACCACTGACAATGCTGTGAGTTTTACAAACAGAATATTTTATTTGTATTCATTGTTTGAGAGACCTTCTCCTTTACTTAAGCTTACAATAGTTCTTAATTAGTTAATTGTAATTAATGTTTAGATTACTGAGTAACATAGACTATATTGATATATAGCTTGTAAAACATCAGTCTTATTATTTGGATTTCTGGGAGTTTTATTTGCTAAGAGAACTTGGAATCTCCTTGGTTTAAATTCTGCTGTGCTTTTTCACCTAGGAAATAGTTTCCTCCCTTTATGCAATTAGGAATTTACTGCAGGAAGCATAAGATATGAAGACCTGTTTACTAATAATTCAGTAAGACAGCATTTAATATTAGAGCTGCATGTCTCTGAAAGATAAATAACCACCCCAAAAGATATGGGGGTGCAGTGTTTTTCCTGAAATAGAGAAGAAATGTGTCTTTCTTGAAGAGAGACAGTTGACAGGCATCATACATTACTCTTCATCTAGTGAGATATATTATAATAAGAAGATAACCTTTAGTGAACAACAGTTCCGATTTAAGTAAAGACTTTTGCCCTTAAAATTCTGGTTAGATAGGTGAAATAAGTTCAAGAGCTCTATTGTACAACATGGTGACTGTACTTAATAACCACCTATTATATTCTTGAAAATTGCTAAGGGAGTAGATTTTAAGTGTTCTCATTCCAAAAGATGATATAAACATGTGATGTAATACCTATGTTAATTAGCTCAATTGAACAATTCCAAAATGTATGCATATTTGAAAACATCATGTTGTACATGATAAACCTATTAGATTTTTATTTGTCAATTAAAAATGATTAATTGGTTAATTTAAAAAGAACAAAAATGAAATCTAGAATGAATGCGGATTATTACGTTATTCACTCTTCTTCAGAGGAATAAATGGGACACTGGAAATAGCAAGGGCTCTCTGAGTGGCACTTTCCTGCTTATAAGATGGGAATAACAGCTCTTACTACAACATTGTCTGGGTTGGCCCTTTGTAATCACAAAGATCCTTATAGAAGAAAGAGGGAGGCAGGAGAGTCAGAGAAAGAGATGTGGCAATGGAAGTAGTGATGAGATTGCTGGCTTTGAACATGGAAGAAGGACTGTGAAGCAAGGAATACAGGCAACCTCTAGAAAGTAGAAAAGGTAGGGAAATGGATTATCCCCAAGAGCCTCTGGAAGAAAGCGAATCCTGTTGACACCTTGAAGTTAGGTTAGTAAAGCACATTTCAGACTTCTGACCCCAGAACTATAAGACAATAAATTTGTGTTGTTGTAGTCTACTAAAAAATAAAAGACCCAAGTCCTCTAAGATAAAAATGTTATAGTAATAAATGATCACTGTTTAGCTATAGGACGCTTCTGTGGGACATATCCCCACTACACTGCATTTCTTAAAATAAAATATTCCAGACATTATTTAATTAGTTGATGAGTACCAATAGTTATTATTCTAAAAATCTGTCCCTAAGGATTGTTTTTCTGACTATAATACAATTACAGTTAGTTTCTTGATGATAATTCAATTCCATGTAGATTTAATAGGGTTTATAAGTGGAGGATTTGAAGAAAGGGTGGAAAATGAACTCTGAATGCTGGAGCATTTGACACATTAAATATCGATAGATTAGCCTTAGCATTGTTAACTGAACCTAATAACCCATGAGAGATTCTTTTGTTCAGAAGCAAATTAAAATTTTTTTTCTCAGAGTTAAATTATAGCCAAGGAGGTGACATTAAAACTCTCCCTTTCATACATATTTAATATTTTGTCCTACAGTTCCAAGTTTTTTAAAAATATTTAACTTCTGTGGGTACATAGTAGGTATATACATTTATGGGTTACATGAGATATTTTTATACAGGCATGCAATGCGTAATAATCGCAACAGTTAAATGGGGTATCCATCACCACAAGCGTTTATCCTTTGTGTTAAAATAAGCTAATTATATTCTTTAAGTTGTTTTAATATGTATAATTAAATTATTTAAAAACATATTTATATTAATTTTTATGGGTACATAGTAAGTATATATAGTTATGTGGTACATGAGAAGTCTTGATACAGGTATACAATGTGAAATAAGCACATCATGTAAAATGGGGCATCCATCCCCTCAAGCATTTATCCTTTATGTTATAGACAATCCAACTGAACTCTTTTGATTTTTTAAAAATGTACAATTAAATTATTACTGACTATAGCCATTCTGTTGTACTATCAAATACTAGGTATTATTCATCTTACTGTATTTTTATACCCATTAACTATCCCTACTTACCTTCCTCCCCCATCACCCACTACCCTTCCAAGCCTCTGAAAACTACCATTCTACTCTCTATTTCCATGAGTTCAATTTTTTTTTATTTTTAGATCCCACAAATAAGTGAAAACATGTCATGTTTTTCTCTGTGCCTGGCTTATTTCACTTAGCATAATAATCTCCACTTCCATCCATGTTGTTGCAAATGACAAATCTCATTCTTTTTTATGGGTGAATAGTACTCCATTGTGTGTAAGTACTATGTTTTCTATATTCATTCATCTTCATGGACACTTACGTGGCTTCCAAATCTTAGCTTTGTGAACAGTATTACACCAAACACAAGAGTGTAGATATCTCTTTGGTTTACCGATTTCCTTTCATTTGGGTATATACTCAGCATCAAGATTATGGAATACAGTAGCTCTATTTTTCATTTTTTGAGGAACCTCCAAACTGTCTTCCATAGCGGTTGTGGTAATTTAAATTCTCACCAGCAGTGAATGAGGGTTTCGTTTTCTTCACATACTTTGCAGCATTTGTTTTTGCCTGTCTTTGGATATAAGCCATTTTAACTGGGGTGAGATGATATCTCATTGTAGTTTTGATTTGCATTTCTCCGATGATGAATAATGTTGACCACCTTTTCATATGCCTGTTTGCCATTTGTATATCTGCTTTTGAGAAATGTCTATGCAAATATTTGTCCCATTTTAAAATCTGATTATTAGATTTTCTCATATAGAGTTGTTTGAGCTCCTTATATATTCTTGTTATTAATCCCTTATCAGATGGGTAGTTTGCAAATATTTTCTCCTATTTTGTGGGTTGTGTCTTTGTTGATTGTTTCCTTTGCTGTGCATAAGCATTTTAACTTGATGTGATCATACTTATCAATTTTTACTTTGGTTGGCTGTGTTTGTGGAGTATTAAGAAAATTTTGCCCAGATCAATGTCCTGAAGAAGAGTTTCCCCAATGTTTTCTTGTAGTAGATTTATAGTTTGAGGTCTTAGATTTAAGTATTTAATCTATTTTGATTTGATTTTTCTATATGGCAAGAGATAGGGGTCTAGTTTCATTTTTCTGCATATGGATATCCAGTTTTTCCAGCACTATTATTTGAACTACCTTTTTCCCAGTATATGTTCTTGCCATCTTTGTTGGAAATGAGTTCACTGTGTGTGTGGAGTTGTTTCTGGGTTATTCATTCTGTTCTATTGATCTATGTTCTGTTTGTTTTTTTGTTTTGTTTTGTTTTTGTTTTGAGATGGAGTTTTGCTCTTGTTGCCCAGGCTGGAGTGCAATGGCACGATCTTGGCTCACTGCAACCTCCGCTTCCTGGGTTCAAGCAATTTTTCTGCCTCAGTTTCCTGAGTAGCTGGGATTACAGGTGCCCACCACCATGCCCAGCTAATTTTTGTATTTTTAGTAGAGACAGAGTTTCACGATGTTGGCCAGGCTGGTCTCAAACTCCTGACCTCAGGTGATCCACCCTCCTCTGCCTCCCAAAGTGCTGGGGATTACAGCTGTGAGCCACTGCTCCTGGCCTATGTAATGTGTTTATACCAGTACCATGCTGTTTTGATTCCTACAGCTCTGTAGTATAATTTGAAGTCAGGTAATGTAATTCCTCCAATTTTGTTGTTTTTACTCGGGATAGTTTTGGTTATTCTGGGTCTTTTGTGGTACCATATAAGTTTTAGAATTATTTATTCTATTTCTGTTGAGGAATATCAACAGAATTGATATTGGTATTTTGATAGGGATACATTGAATCTGTAGATTGCTTAGGGTAGTATGGACAACATTTGAACAATATTGATTATTTCAATCCATGAAAAGGAATATCTTTTTTGTGTATGTGTCCTCTTCAATTTCTTTCATCTGTGTTTTATAATTTTCATTATAGAAATCCTTCACTTCTTTGATTAATTTCCAGGTATTTAATTTCATTTATGGCTATTGTAAACAGGATTACTTTTTGATTTATTTTTCAGATTGTTCACTGTTGGCATATAGAAATGCTACTGATTTTCGCACAATGATTTTGTATCCTGCAACTACTGGATTTGTTTATAAGTTCTAACAATTTTTTGGTGGACTCTTTAGGTTTTTCCAAATATAATGTCATATCATCTACAAACAATGACAATTTGACTTCTTCCTTTCCAAACTGAATGCTCTTTATTTCTTTGTCTTGTCTCTTCACTCTAGTAAGAACTTCTGGTATGATGTTGAGTAGCAGTGGTGACAGTGGGCATCCTTGTTGTGTTTCAGATCTTAGAGGAACGGCTTTTACTCTTTTCCCATTCAGTGTGATACTAGCTGTGGTTCTATCGTATATGGCTTTTATTATGTTGAGGTATGTTCCTCATTTTTTTGAGGGTTTTTATCATAAAAGGATGTTGAGTTGTTTTGAATTATTTTTCAACATCAATGAAAATGATCATACGATTGTTGTCTTTCATTCTGTTGATACGATGTACCACATCAATTGAGTTGTGTATGTGGAACCATTGTTGTATCCCTGGGATAAATCCCACTTTGTCATGATGAATGATCTTTTAAATTCATTGTTGAATTCAGGTTGTTCGTATTTTGTTGAGGATTTTTGCATCATTTTTCATCAGAGATATTGGCCTGTAGTTTTCTTTTTTTGATGTGTCTTTGTCTGGTTTTGGTATCAAGGTAAACTGGCCTTGTAGAATGAGTTTGGAGGTGTTCCCTTCTTCTCTCTTTTCCAGAATAGTTTGAGTAGGATGGTTATTAGTTTGTTGAATGTTTGGTAGAATTCAGCAGTGAAGCCATCAGGTCCCTGGCTTTTTCTTCATTGAGATACTTTTTATTACAGCTTGTTATTGGTCTAGTTTTTTATTTCTTCCTGGTTTAATCTTGGTAGGTTGTATGTGTATACAAATTTCACTTCTTCTAGATTTTCTGGTTTATTAGCAATAGTTGCTCATAGTAGTCACTAATCCTTTGAACTTCTGCAGTACCAGTTGTAATGTCTCATTTTTCACCTCTGATTTTATTTATTTGGATCTTGTCTCTTTTTTTTGTTAGTTAGTTTGGTTAAAGGTTTGTCAGTTTTGGTTAACTTTTCAAAATCCAACTTTTTGTTTCCTTGATCTTTTGTATTGTTTGCTTCATGTCAATGTCATTATTTCTGCTCTGACCTTTATTGTTTATTTTTTCCTACTAATTTTGTGTTCAGTTTGCTCTAGCTTACCAGTTCTTTAAGATGCATTGTTAGGTTGTGTATTTGAAGTTTTTCTTCTTTTTATGGTGTAGGCACTTATAGCTGTATACTTCTCTCTTAGTATTGTTTTTGCTGTATCCCACAGGTTTTTGTATATTGTGTTTTCATTATCATTTGTTTCAAGAAGGTTTTCAATTTTCTTCTTAATTTCTTCATTGAGCCACTGGTCATTCAGCAGCATAATGTTTAAGTTCTGTGCTTCTGTAGTTTCCAAAATTCCTCTTTTTATTGATTTCTAGTTTTATTTCATTGTGGCCAGAGAAGATGCTTGATAGTATTTGAATTTTTTGAATATTTTAAGACTTTTTTGTGACTTAACATATGGTCTATCCTTGATAGTGATCCACGTGCTGATGATAAGAATGTATTCTGTAGCTATTATATAAAATGATCTATAAAGATAGATTAGGTTTATTTGGTCTATAGTGCAGATTAAGTCTAATGATACTTTGTTGATTTTCTCTCTGAAAGATGTCCAGTGCTGAAAGTGGAATGTTTATTTCTCTGACTATTATTGTATTAGGGTTTCTTTCTCTCTCTCTTTAGCTCTAATAATATTCCCTTTATGTATCTGAGTTCTTCAGTGTTGAGTGCATATATATATATATATATATATATATATATAATTGTTATATCCTCTTGTTTAATTGACTCCTTTATCATGATATAGTGACCTTCTTTGTCTCTTCTTATAGTTTTGTCTTGAAATCGATTTAGTCTGATATATTTATAGTGACACCTGCTCTTTTTTGTTTTTTTTATTGGCAGGGATTATATTTTTTCTCTGTATTTTCACCCTATGTGTTTCTATATAGGTGAAGTATGTTTCTTACAGGCAGCAGATCATTGGGTTCAGTTTTAAAAAATCTATTCATCCACTATATCTTTTGATTGCAGTTTATTTTGTTTACATACAGTGTTATTACTATAAATAAGGACTTACTCCTGCCATTTTATTATTTGTTTTTTGATGGTTTTGTGATCCTCTCCTCCTTCTTTCCTTTATTTCTGTTTTGCTTTTAGTGAAAGTAATTTTCTCCGGTAGTATGATTAATTTCTTTCTCTTTATCTTTTGTGTATCTATTTTATATATGTTTTTAAATTTCAGGTAACCGTTAGGATTGTAGATACTATTTTGTAGCCCATTATTTTAAGCTGATAACAACTTAATACTGTTTGCTTAAACAAAGGAACAAAGAGACAAAAAAAAGGAACAAACAGGCAAAAACAAAACTAATGAAAACTCTACAGTTTAACTCTATCCCTCTGATTTTTAACTTATTGTTTTTTCTATTTATATCTTCTTGTACTTTCTATGTCTTGAAAAGTTTTTGTAGTTGTTATTTTTGATTGGTTCATTATTGAGCCTTTCCACTTAAGAGTAGTTAACATACCACAATTACAGTTTTGTATAATATTCTGTATTTTTCTGTGTGGTTACTATGACCAGTAAGTTTTGTACCTTCAGATGGTTTCTTGTTGCTCATTAATGTGCTTTTCTTTCTGATGAAAGTACTCTTTTGCATTTCGTGCAGGACAGGTCTGGTGTTGACGAAATCCCTCAGCTTTTGTTTGTTTAGGAAAGTCTTTATTTCTCCTTCATGTGTGAAGGATATTTTTGCCAGACATACTATTCTAGGGTAAAAGGTTTTTTCCTTCAGTACCTTAAATATGTCATGCCACTCTCTCCTGGCCTGTAAGATATCCACTCAAAAGTGGGCTGCCAGATGCATTGGAGCTCCATTGTATGTTATTTGTTTCTCTTGCTGCTTTTAGTTTTTTTCTTTTTTGTTTTTCTTTTTTTTTTTTTTTTTATGTCACTATCTCCCATTCACACATCTTGCTACTTTTAGGATCCTTTCTTTATCATTGATCTTTGGGTTGTTTTGAAACTGGAGGGGTTCCCTTATCCCCCTCACAGGGCATGTGACAGGGGTTTGTCTTGCTTCTTTGATGCCCTGCTGCTCAAATTCCTAGGGGGAGCAGACAGCCAGGCAGGTCTTGAGGAGCATTTTTGGGCTTCGACCCATGGGCAGCATCTAGGGAGTGTTTACAGCTCCAGAAGCCCCAGTGGCCATGTGTTACAGTGTGCTCTTTCAGCTTAGCCATCCGCAGGCAGCTTGTGTTAATCAGCTCAATTAGATCCTCTGCCTTATTGCAAGGACAGAGGGCTTTCTGTATGTCGAGTTTTTTGCCCTCATTTACCAGAAAAATCAGATCATACGTGGGCTTGGAGAATGAGTGCAAGGTTTTATTGAGTGGTGGAAGTTGCTCTCAGCAGGTGGTTGGGGAGCAGAAGGGGGATGGGGTGGGAAGGTGGTCTTCCGCCAGAGTTGGGCCACCCAGCAGCTGGACTCTCCTCTGACTGAATTCCCCTCAGAGACCACGTCGTTTCGCTGTCGATGGCCTGTCGGCATCTGCCTGTGTGTTCTTCTGCCGGTGTGTTCCTCTCGACATCCAGCCATTTGTGTGTGTGTGCCCGCTAGGGTCTTGGGGTTTTTATGGGTATAGGATGGGGGGCATGGCGGGCCAGCGTGGTCTTGGAAAATGCAACATTTGGGCGTGAAAACAGGAGTGCCTGTCCTCACCTAGGTCTGTGGGCACAGGCCTGAGGATGGAGCCCTCAACAGGTACCCCACCGTTTTCTACCCAGCACTTCCCTGCCCCCTGTTCCATATCAGTTTGATTATTAAGTTCCTTGAGGTAGTCTTTTTTGGGGTTAAAACTGCTTGATGTCCTATAACTATCTTATACTTGAATGTTGATATCTTTCTCTTGGTTTGGGAAGTTGTCTTTATCCCTTTAAATAAATTTTCTTTCCTTATGTTTTTCGCTATCTTCTTTTTAAGCCAATAACTCAGATTTGTCCTTTTCAGGTAACTTTCTGGGTCCTCTGGGCAAGCTTCAAGTTTTAAAATCCTTTTTGCTTTTGTCTCCTGTAACTATGTATTTCAATTGGCCTGTCTTCAAGCTCACTATTTCTTTCTTCACCTTTACCAATCCTGCTATTTAAAGATTCTGATGCATTCCTCAGTATGTCAATTGTATTATTCAACTCCAGATTTTCTGCTTCTTTTTAAATATTTCAATATCTTTGTTAAATTTATCTGATAAAATTGTGAATTCCTTCTCTGCGTTATCTTAAATTTCTATGAGTTTCCTCAAAACAACTATTTTGCATTCTTGTTCTGAAAGGCCACGTATCTCTGTTTCTACAAAATTCATTCCTGGTGGCTTATTTAGTTCATTTTGTGAGGTTGTGCTTTCCTGGATGGTCCTGATGCCAGCTGACATTCTTCTGTGTCTGGTCATTGAAAAGTTAGTTTTTTATTGTGGTCTTCATAGTCTGGGCTTGTTTGTACCCATCGTTTCAGGGAAGGTTTTTCATGTATTCAAAAGAACCTGGGCATTGTGATTAAAGCCATATCTACATCAAGGGGCATCCCAAGCCCAATAATGCTGTGGTTCTTGCAGACTTGCAGAGGTACCACCTTGGTGGTGTTGGATAAGATCCAGAATAATTTTCTCACTTACCAGGCAGAGACTCTTGTTCTCCTCCCTTACTTTCTGCCAAACAAATGGATTCTCTGTCTGTTCTGAGCTTACTGGAGGTGGGGGTGAAATGATACAAGCACCCCTTTGGCCACCACCACTGGGATTGTGCTGGGTTAGACCTGAAGCCAGCACAACACTGGGTCTTACCAAAGGTCTACTGTAACTCTACCTTGCTATCACCTATGTCCACTCAAGAACCTGAAGCTCTACAATCAGTAAGTGGTGAAGCCAGCCAGGCCTGTGTGTTTCCCTTCAGAGTGGCAAGTTCCCCCAGGCTCAGAGTACAGTATCAAGTACATAAACCCCATTCCAAAAAGTAAGAAGTACTGCCTCTTGTAATAATTTTGGATTTAACTTACATGACAAATATAGGCCTTTTATCTGTTTTAAGGAAATCATGATTTTGCAAGTTAAAGAAGATGTTAGAAATAAAAACCATATAATCTTTTCTGATAAAATAATTCCACTAATGTTACTATGTTTGTATTCCAGCTAATGGTTAACTCAGGCTACTATCATATGGCAGTAGAATATAAGATTGTCTAATGGTCAATATTTGATGTATGTAAAAACACAGTTTATACTAAATCAGTTGGATAAACCATGGAAAATAGTATAAAATTAAGAGATACAATATTTATTTCACATAAACATGGGAGATATTCTTATTGTTCCTGTGTTTTTCTGCTTTGATCATTAGCCAAATTTTCACGTTAGTTTTTATTATGGGATTGTTTAGGAGCACATATATGAAAATTGCAGTGATACAGAGAAAGATTAGTATGTCTTCTCTACAAGGCATGCACATTCGTGGAAGTCTACATTTTGATCCTACTCATGTTTAAAAACTAGACAAATTGCCACCTCCTTTGGTCTCCTCAGGTCAAATATTTCTCTCTTTTGTGCTCTGTAATTCATTGTTTATATCAGTTCTATTGCCATTTTTGTACACATATATCTTTCTCATTAGATTATGAACTCTGATCCTGTATAATACAACTTTATATTCCCCACAGCAGCTAATCCATTGACTTGTAAATAGTGAGCAGTCAAAATGTTTTTATGGATTTGAGTTTTGTGAGTCATTTGCTGAATATTAGCATCAGGACACACTCACACAAACACACATGCTTATAAAAATTCCATCTTCTCCGTAAGTAAATATCCTATATAAAATAAATGAGAGAAGAACATTTAAATTCTCTAGTTGTTATCTGTATACCAAGTATATCCCTATATAAATGACTTCATAATGGCTGAAATTGAAAAATTTAGGCAGAAATAGCTAGTTTCTCTAAGGATCACCAAGTATAGAAGATTTGAATAATTAGCATGCACACATTAAATCACTTATGCAGATGACTGCTTCATACGAGAGTAATTCAGCACAAGTTTACATTGTGCTCACAGTTGATCAGGACCTGAAATGAATCTGGAAGATCCCTGGAGCTCATATCATGTACATTCCTAACTATAGATACAACGTTGAATGGATGACAGATAATTATGGAGCCCTTTGGGTCTAATTCTTACAAGGCAAAGTTCCTTTGACTTTTTTGATCAATTTTCTCTGTTGCCAGTTTGTTAAACATGCAATAGCATGAATTATTATTTTATTCATCCATTTGCTCTATTATAAGCTATTTTATTGTTAAATACACTCAATCATTGATGCTATTTTGTAAATGGTATTTTTGTCGCATTTAAAAATTTTAAATCATGATCAACTGGTAAAGACTTTAGACAGAAAGAATATGTCTTATTCTTTTTTTGAGCTCTGTTGCACATTGTGGTGAATACAGTTAAGAACAGAGTATTTTACCTTTTAAAATTGCTGAGAGTAAATTTCAAATATTCTCACCACAAAAATGTATAGTATTTTCAGTAAACAATATGTTAACTAGTTTGATTTAATTATTCCACATTGTATTCATAAATTATAACATCACTTTGTAACCCATAAATTTATGCAATTATAAATTTTCAACTTACAGTTAAAATTGTTGCATCTTCTTATAAAAATACAAATACATAAAAATAAATTCTCCAGTTTCCATAAATTTTAGAAGTTTTGTATATGCTCAGATGATACAGGAAGTGGTGGTGTATTTTAGAAAAAGAGAGGAAGTCTATCATTGTTGGACATTTGGGTTGGTTCCAAGTCTTTGCTATTGTGAATAATGCCGCAATAAACATACATGTGCATGTGTCTTTATAGCAGCATGATTTATAGTCCTTTGGGTATATACCCAGTAATGGGATGGCTGGGTCAAATGGTATTTCTAGTTCTAGATCCCTGAGGAATCGCCACACTGATTTCCACAATGGTTGAACTAGTTTACAGTCCCACCAACAGTGTAAAAGTGTTCCTATTTCTCCACATGCTCTCCAGCACCTGTTGTTTCCTGACTTTTTAATGATTGCCATTCTAACTGGTGTGAGATGGTATCTCATTGTGGTTTTGATTTGCATAATGTGGCACATATACACCATGGAATACTATGCAGCCGTAAAAAATGATGAGTTCATGTCCTTTGTAGGGACATGGATGAAATTGGAAACCATCATTCTCAGTAAACTATCGCAAGAACAAAAAACCAAACACTGCATATTCTCACTCATAGGTGGGAATTGAACAATGAGATCACATGGACACAGGAAGGGGAACATCACACTCTGGGGACTGTTGTGGGGTGGGGGGGAGGGAGGGATAGCATTGGGAGATAAACCTAATGCTAGATGACGAGTTAGTGGGTGCAGCACACCAGCATGGCACATGTATACGTATGTAACTAACCTGCACAATGTGCACATGTACCCTAAAACTTAAAGTATAATAATAAAAAAAAAACAAGCATAAAAAAAAAAAAGAAAAAGAGAGGAAGTGATTGTGTGGGGCAGAACAACTGTCCTTGGTCCAAGCAGCATCTTTACCAGCCAATGGTTGTCTTGGAATTCTAAAATAAATATATACCTGATGTTAATAAATAAATTCATGCAAAATATTGTGATAATCATTGATCTATGCGGGAGATAGCTTACCTCATTATATCATTCGAATTGCCTCTTTCTTTTTATTATATGTGGTGTCTTATAAGCAAATCATTTTTCCTTTGGGACTACTGGAATGGCCTTTGTTCTCAGTATGTATAATGGATAAAGGTGTCTTGTAACAACTTATATCCCATAAGGAAAATGTAGCATTGCTTCTCTTTGCTTCTAGAAATAGTGCTAAGAAAGACTTGCCAGGCTGTGTGTGGTGGCTCGTGCCTGTTGTCCCAGCACTTTGGGAGGCTGAGGCTCAAGTGATCCACTTGAGCCCAGGAGTTCGAGACAAGCCTGGGCAACACGATGAAACCCTGTCTCTACAAAAAATACAACAATTAGCTGGGCATGATGGCATGTGCCTGTGGTCCCAGCTACTTGGGAGTTGAGGTGGAAGGATTGCTTGAGCCTGGGAGGCGGAGGCTTCAGTGAGCCGTAATCATGTCACTGTACCCCAGCCTCAGCAACATAGTGAGACCTAGTCTCAAAAAAAAATGCAGTCAGGAAAAGTTATGAGTATCTTGTTTTTGCTACATCTAAAGCTTTCAAAGTGTTCTGAATAAGCCACTCTAGACTCTGACATTTTCACCACTCTTTCTCTATTTTTGTGCGTGTATGTATACATGAGTGTCATATATGTATGTACACACCAAAAACACAGTTATATGTATATTTTTTATTTACTCATATGTGCCATGCTAAACATGTAATTGCCTTCTATTTGCTTGGAGGGATGATTTGTAATTTAACTACTTTGTCTGGCTTTGCTGAAGCTCAGCAATTATTCTGTATCTCTACTGTAACTTTAAAACATTACTATGAGTGGGAGAAGGGCTGTTGAATTCTCACCACTAAACATTTGCATCAAGATTAAGTAAAATGTTAATCTCTGCTAAACTGATTTAGCTGAATAGAATCTATCAAAGTATAGTCATAGTTTCCTAAGCGTGCTTGGGGCTCTGCAGATGTGCAAAGAAATACCATATGGAAGTGGCTTTCTCCATGGCACAAGTGGTATGGTTTTGTGTGTTGTGGTGTGTCTGTTGGCATTGTTGGCAGTTCAGCACCCTGGGAAAGGCATTGCTTTCAAACATGAGTAATTGATGAATTGTATGTAATATGCAAATGTGAATGCATAAATCTCCTGAATGACAGCTTAATTTATGTGAGCTTTTAAGAATGTGGTATTAGATTTTAATTAAGTATCTTCAAAGGCGCTCTGACTTATTCAGGTTTTTGGCTGCTGTCTTTAGAAAGAAGTGGGTGAAGGTTTAAATCATAATTTTACACACATTATTCACATTTTTGTACTCAATGGTCATTGTTTCATAGAAAAATCAAGATATTTAAAGTAGAAAGGCATTTGTCTTTAATTTTAAAAACATTGCTTTTATATTACAGTGGTTACAGTTCATCTTATATGATAGATACAGGAAAGTATAAGTGATCTGAAAATTAATGTCTTAAATTTCAAATGTAATCTTTGAGCATATTTCAGATACTACCGTATATTTTACTATGCAAAATTAAACAATGACAACTGCAGATGAAATTTCTTAGCACATATTGTTGGGAGGTTAATACAGTGTATGACTTTCAAAGTATAATTATCTTAAAAATAACTGAAAGAGTTGATAGAGATACAGCTGTCTCCGTCCACTTTATTCTTAGATAGGAAGTATGTATAAATGTAGCTCTGCATGTGTATTTTTTTGTGTGTGTATTTTTAACCTATATTTGATAATAGTTTTTCAAACCTTATATAATATACAGATTAGGAAAAAAGATATTAATTAAAAATTATAAAATTTACAAGCATTTTTTCCTCTTTAATCTTTCTATGCAATCAGGTAATGAATTAAAAGGATATGAATGTAATAGATCCACTTAAAGTTTGCTGTAAATGCTGTTAATTCTTTACAAAATATATTCCAAGAGGACACTGCAAGATCTCACTCATATATGGAGTCTAAAAAGTTGATCTCATAGAAGTAGAAAGTAGAATAGTGATTGCCAGAGAATGGGGAGGGCAGGCTAAAGGGGACTGGAGAAAGATTGGTCAATGGGTACAAACCTACAGTTAGATAGGAAGGATAAGTTCTGGTGTTCTATTGCTTAGTAGGATGACCAGAGTTAGCAGTAATGTGTTATATGTTTCAAAATACCTAGATATTCTCATCACAAAGAAATTATAAATGTTTAAGGTGATAAATATGGCAATTACTCTTATATGATCATTACACTATGTATACATGTATTGAAACATCATATTGTATCCCATAAATATGTACAATTACTATGTCAATTATAAATTTAAAAAATCTTCCAACCGATTTATAGTTTATAGTAAATCACATTGCCTATAAGTGATAAATATAAAAAAAACTCTTGATCAGTAATGAATTATGCCTACCTTTTAACTGTTTTTCCCACATATTTGTTTTCTCTTAATTTATTTTCAAGAGCTTAATTTTTGACTACAGCAACAATTAAGCTATACTTTTTTACTTGAATGTGTTTCTCCTCTGATGTATCATTGTAGTGGTTAATTGCACAAACTTTGGAATTATACTTCATAGTTCTTAAATGCCAGCTCTGACACTACCTGCTGTGTGACCTTGGGCAGAGCAATTAACCATGTCTAAGTTTCTGGATTGCTGTTAGAATTACATGACTTAATACAAAACACTTAGAAGAGTGCCTGGCACCTGGTGAGCCCTATGCAACTTATTGTTATTATTTATTTCCACTGGTCCCACCATACCCTCATTTTTACCTGGCAGGACTGTTTCCCTGCTGACTGGCCCCAAGACAACTTAATTGCCATTTTCATGATTTTGTCTGGAATGTGTCTACCATGTATACTCTCCCTGTGCAGGTTCTATTCAATCTTGAGACCTAAGGATCCCTTTTTTTTCTATGAAGTCATCATTGACTCCTTCCTCTGAACTAGCTCCATTTTTTGTTAGTTTTCTTCTATCACAGTATTTTTTTGTTTAATCATTTCCATATTTATTTTTGTTTATACCAAGCTTACAACTGTGAAACTTGTAGTCCACTTACTTAGTTTCTGTCTGGTATGTTGACTTGAAAATTACATCTAGTGTGAAGTTCCAGCTTCCTTTACCTAATTTGCCTTTATCTAGGTTTGCTATATCATGGAGATACAGGATGTTTCAATCTCCAAGGGAGATGGCCATGCACAATTCTCCTCTTCAGACTCCTGCTATTCTGGTTCTCTTACGGTTGAGACTGTTTCTTTCCACTCTGAGGAGGGGCTTTTCTGTTTATTAGAAATTAAAGATGGAAAAGTCATTTGCCTCATGTTGAAAAATCAACTCATACAATATAATATATATAGTCAGACAGATAAGGGCTACAATTCTGGTCCTGCTGTCTGGCTTTCAGCAAGTTAGCCTCTCTGAGGCTTAACTTCTCACCTTAAAATAGGGATAGTAGTACCAATTTCATGGAACTATTTAGAGAATTAAGTTGATGTGAACCTTAGCATAGTGCTAGACATATACTATGGGTTAATTTACCAGTATTTTTCTTCCCATTAATCATCTAGCAACAGTAACAGGACTTATAATAATGGGCTATGTGATGGGATCAAAGCTATTCCTTAACCAAAATATTAAACACAATGCCAGTGAAGAGTTTGTCCAGGAGCAGTGTGAGACTAAGTTTTGTAATTTCTTCTCTAAAGGGACCAGAATATATAGACACCAATTTTAACATATACTATTATTTTTTAAAGTAGAGATCAGTATGCCTCTCTTCTGTACTTTTAAAATCAGAACATAGAAGCTAGCTAAACATAAACTCTTAGGTTGCCCCAACTTTCACAGAGGAAGCCAAACTATTCAACTATGGGCACATTGGAATTGTACTCACTTTAAATGTAATCACCCTGGTTGTAGTCATTTCAACGCTAGCAAAAGCCTATTATATATTCTTTCCTGTTCAATGTTGTGAAGCCGGTATAACATTTTCTGTAATGTAAGTCAACTTACATTTGTGTATAAGGTGCTATTCCAGGAACGGTGGTAGGCTTAAAGATGAAATTAGTAAGTCCCACATAGCCCTGGCCATGTGTGCCTAAGGTGGTGAGGAGATCTTGCAGAGCATTTTGCACCAGCTAGGTGGTCAGTAAATATTTATTTAATTTGACAATTCAATTCTTAGTGGATAGAGCTTCTTTGCAGTGCATGTTAACATGTAAGACTGTTACTCATACTCACTTTTCAAGATAATCCTTTTATAAATTATAGTCTTATATTGCAAAACACTTGATGAGATTTTAATCAACTTTTCTTTTACTTCATTAGATGCAGCTTAATGACAAATACTTTATAAAAATAATACGGTGTTTAATTAATAAATGGTATTTTAATTGCAACCATTCTTGCCAACAGCATATAAATTGGAAAAATAAATTTTGAACTTATTATAAAAGTCCAAAAATATTTCTCCACGAAGTAAAAGGTGCAAAATATCTTCAAATTATAACCACTTTTCAGTACAAATAATGTAGAAGTTTAGAGTCCAGCAGATGTGCTTTTGAGTTCTTATACTAGCTCTGTGACATTAGCTGTGTTATCTAATCTCTGTGAGCCTTAGTTTTCTATAAATTGGGGACAATAAAGTCTACTTGCAAAGTTTTGGTAGGTATTATACTTATTGTATCTATATCTCTATCTATCACTCATCTATCACACTTTCTAGATCACACTTTATATTTCAATGTTTCCATTTATTGTTGCTTCTACACAATCAAATTCAGCTCAGATAATTTTATATATGCATCATTTTTAATAGTTAAGATGGGATGAATGAAACATAAGAAGAAATATTTAAAAGGATTATAGTCATTGTTATGGAAAGAACCATGGATTGGAAGTCAGTAAATGTGGGTTGCAATCATGGTTTTTCCCTAGCAAACTGTGTGATCACAGATAGGCAAGTCGTTTTACCCCACTGAGCTTTTGCTTCCCTATCTGTACAAATAAGAATTTCCACTAACTCTTGTCTATGGTTTCATTCAGCTTTAATATTCTTGGATTATTTATATTCTTTGGCTCTTGAGATAACATAGCATAGTGAGTCAGTGTGCTGGATCTAGATTCAGATTTACTGGGCTCTAATCTCAGTTCCCCAGAGTAATAGCGTTACGACTTGGCCAAGTCATTTATACCCCTTGAACCACAGTTTCATTATCTTTAAAATGAGTATGGCAAAAATAGCTAAAAGTGAGGATTTTAAATATTCTTACCACAGGAAATATAAATATTTGAAGTAATGGATTACTCATTAGCCTGATTTGATCATTCCACAATGTATACATGTATTGAAGCATCACCTTGTGCCCCATGTGCAATTATTATTTGTCAATTAAAAATAAAATAAAACTTTAGAAGTATTTAACAGGGATTGAAATCATTGAGAAGTTAGCATGGAAATAACAATACATATTTCACAGTGTTGTTCAAAGTATTAAATGAGTCAATATATATAAAAAATTCAGAAAAATGCTTGGTACATAGTAAGTATTCGCTAACCACGACATATAATCATTACCTAACGATACAGAAGTGTGACTAGTGAAATATGTTCCTCTTATTTCAACTCCTGATGATGCAAGCACATATCTATAAGGCAGGCAGTCAGTGGCTATAGCCAGTAATCCAGCATGATACTTTATTCATCTATTCCCATACTGAGATCTTATTTTGAATCTGCGTAGAATTGAATGATCTTAATTTACACTAATGTTATGTTTTCTTGTAATTTTAGGTATCTGTTCATAAATTTATATCTTAATTTCCAAAGTATTTGAAGATAAGATTCATACCTCATATTTCCTATTGCACCTCATTCATATCACCTGAGATTGGACTTTGTATCTAGTAGATACTCAAAAATAATTGATTGATGACATAGATTTTAATACTTCTCTAGATAGATGCATTTAAAAAAATCCCCAAAGTTCTCATTTTTAAGTTTAATAAAACCTCAGGCATATATTTATGGAAGAATGTTTCCTGAATTATGATAAACAAATAACAATATCACATAATATGGAATAATATAAATTATAGATTTTTTTCTGTTGTACAACATGGTAACTATAATAATATACTGTATACTTGAAAATTGCTGAGAGAAGATTTTACACGTTCTTGCCTCAAAAAAATATGTGAAGTAATGCGTATGTTAATTAGCTTGACTTAGCCATTTCACAATGTAAACATGTATCAAAATATGATTGTACACCATAAATATATACAATGTTTTACTTGTCAATTAAATAAAAAGATTATAAATGATCTCGCTTCATAAATTACATTTTAGTCTAAACCGCGTTCACTGTCACTTTTCTAACCGAATTTTTTTAAAGTAATATATCCTCATACATTATCTTCCTAGATGTATAGTGCTCGTTATTGTGCATTAAAATTGGAAAAATATTGTCTTGTTGGTAGAAGGAGAAAATTACTCTGGATAAAATTTGGAATTTATTGTTTGTAATTATTTAGAATGTCTACCTAGTATGATTTACATGAGGACTTAAAATAAATAGACTAGAAAGTTACTAGAAAATAGCGTCTTTGGACAAGGAAATTTACTCTGTCATTAACGTTTACTTAAGAAAAAGCTATGTAATCAAAGCCAGGAAGTCACAGTATACTTTGGAAGGAATGCTAAACTCTTTTTGTCTGCCACCATTTGGACGTAGTTGCATCCATGTGCTTTTTTATTCACTCTTTAATTTATTTTGCCTCATACATTTTAATTAGAGAACACCCACATTATGTACTACGCACATCATGTAGGTTATAAAATGCAGGCAAGCTATTCTTTATTTTTTCTTCCTAATCAGAAGAAATAGCAAATATAGATATCTCCTTTTTGCCTTATTGGGTCAACATACAACTCATTCTAAGCAAGGTTTTGCATGTCTCATTGTGAAAACAACTGAGCTCAGGTTAATTTTGCAGAATGTCATAGAGAAGAAAAGAGGGTAAACTTCCACTACTGATCCTTGTGCTGGAGGCAGTTGTGGATCTTAGAGCTATGTGTTATCACTGGTATCATAATCTGGAAGCAAAAGGGGAGATGGCTCTAAGAAATAGAAATGGACAGTCAGTCTGACTGTATCTGAATAATAATGCCAAGATATGTAACGATGGAATATAGCAACTGCCTTTGGCCACCTTTGTTCAATTCTGGAAGAACTGATCCTAATCCAGAGACATGCTTCCCTTTGAGTTATCCGGGTTTGAGATGGCTACGTGTTGGTTATATCCTATGATGTTTTTCTGTGGCTTAAAATTCACCTTCCTTTATTCGATAAGTCTGGGATAAGGCCTAGGTGATTATAATTTTTAAAAGCTCTATAGGTAATTCTGATGTATAGATTGAGAATTATCAGGTTAACCTTCTCTGTGATAAAAATTGTCTCAATTTTCCATTTAATATAGGATGAAGCTGCTTTCCCATTGAGAGGCTACTAATTTACTGAACAAAGTCATGCAGTAAACATTAGAATATTTACGTTGGTGGACTTTTTGGGTAGAGAGTTATAGCCTATTTCTTGTACAAGTAGGCAGCTCCTTTGAGTGGAGGCATGAGTATGAGTACAGATTTGGAGGATTAGAGTTTGGAATCATTAGCCAAATGACAACATAAAATACACAAAATCAGCCTAATTATCAGAAATAATTTCCAAGTAGAAGTAAATTGAGTTTCCTAACATATGTTATGCACTCAGTAAAGAGAAATCCTGAGAATAGTTCTACATGAAAATAAAACTATAGCCTAAAATGTGAAAAATTCAGTCTGTCTGTCTTCTTACTACCTGCTGTACACAATGCTTTTACGCCAGATATTTCAGTCTCATGGACATACATTGTACAGGACACACTTCTTAACAGAATGGTTGAAGTTTTCATTACTCATATAGGTATTTTGTTGCAACACAGTTGCCACCTCAAAATGTTAAACCTGTGCAGGAAGGGGAGTTTTGAAATACAAGGACCTCTAATTTTATTCAACAAAATGTTTGCTTCTATATGAAAAGAGAAACAAACCTTTATTTTGGCAGCAAATGTTTCCAAAGGAAGCAAATGTTTTAGTGACTATGGCCAACATAAATGTTTTCTTTTAGGCAGTTAAGGCAGACAAATATTTTCATAGCATTTTCAGAGTGTTTCCACCCTTTATTTTCACAGAGAGAGTCTCTCTCCTTCCCACCCATCACCCTATGGAAATATTTTCAGAACGTATTTTGACCATGAAAACAACAAAAACATTTTGCACGTGTTGTCTTTATAAGAGTTAAAAGGATGTTCTCAATGTTTAAGAAAGAGAAAACAAAATGACAGTCGGGATGCGACAGTTGAAAGAATACTAAAAGCAGCAAAACTGAGTTCTAGCTTTTACTCTGCTACTTACCTGCTGGGTGACCTTTAACTGACAACTCACCTTTCTTGGCTTTCAGTATTAATCAGGAAGATGAGGGAGTTCCATTAAATGTTACCCAATCTATATTTTGCATTTTCTTTTCATAAAAATGATAGTCATATAATTAATACATGTGCCTTTTAACATCAACATACCCTATCTATATTTTTGTAAATTTTATTGTGTTAAAAACACTTAATATGAGACTTATCCTCTTAACAATTTTTGATTATATAAGTTTGACTATTTTAGATAGCCCATGTATGTGGAATCCTGCAGTATTTGTCTCTGTGACTGCTTTATTTCATTTAGCATATCCTCACAGTTCATTCATGTTGTCACATATTACAGATCAAAAACAACCCATATCATACTTTTAGTTTTTTTTTAATGACAAATTCTTCCACGTCTGTGTTTTGTTTTAGGAATAGAATCAGACAAATAAAATACACATAGTATTCTAAAACCTGGATAAGGTCTTGCCAGCTGTGTGTACTGATCTCCTAGCAGCTATGGATGAATTCAAACTTTTTCCACTACAACACAATTACCTCTAAAACCAATAGAAAATATTTCCCTTCTTGCCTCAGTTTCCCAGATAGAACAAGTAAAAATACTTGAATATATTTTGAGTTCATTTTTTATTTAAACTTGTTTGTAGATTCAGAAGGTGCATGTGCAATTTTGTTACAAAGTTATATTGCGTGATGCTGAGGTTTGAGATACAAATGATCCTGTCACCCAGGTAGTAAGCATAATATCCAAGTTAGTTTTCCAAACCTTGCTCTTTCCTCCCTCTTCCCTCTAGTAGTCCCCAGTGTCTATTGTTGCCATCTTCACGTCTGTGAGTACCTGATATTTAGCTCTCACTTATAAGTGAGAACTTGCAGTATTTTGATTTTCTGTCCCTGTGTTAATTCACTTAGGACAATGGCCTCCGGCTGCATCCATGTTGCTGCAAAGGACATTATTTCTTTCTTTTTTATGGCTGCATAGTATTTCATGGTGTATATGTACCACATTTTCTTTATTCAATCCACTGTTGATGGGCACCTACGTTGATTTTATGTCTTTGCTATTGTGAATGGTGCTGTGAGGAACATATGAGTGTATATGTATTTTTGGTAGAATGATTTATTTTCTTTGGATATATATCAAGTAATCGAATTTCTGGGTCAAATGGTAGTTCTGTTTTCATTTCTTTGAGAAATCGCCAAAGTGCTTTCCCCAGTGGCTTAGCTAATTTCCATTCCCACCAACAGTCTGTAAGTGTTCCCTTTTCTCTGTAGCCTTGCCAGCATCAGTTTCTTGTTTTGTTTTTTTGTTTTTTTGTTTTTACTTTTTGATAATAACCATTCTGACTGGTGTAAGATGGCATCTCCTTGTGGTTTTGATTTGCATTTTCAAGTTAAATTTGACAAATAAGAAAAAAGTGAATATAAACCCTAAATGAATCATGAACAGTACTTTTTCACTATACCACCATTTGTGGTTCAATACTATTAGGTTCCCTTAGGAGTTTTGAGTTTAACTCAAACAGTACTCATAAGAGGTTTAAGAAAAACAAAATACCATGCCCAATATGTACTATATCACGGTGAAAGCAAAAAGTTAGAATTCAGTAAACTATACCAATTTAGCAGTTCTAAGATTCTTAATTATACTACTACTACCATTAATAACTGCCAAATTATTAGGCAGGATTGTTAAAGACTATGTACCAGGCACTACTCTGAAGGCATATTTTCTCTCTCTCATGTATATGTTTGTGTACATGCATGTGTGCATGCATATGTGAGTATGTGTATATCTTTATTACAGCTCTGCAAGGTAGGTGTTAATACTTCCAATTTACAGATTAGGAATATGATTCCTATAGACATTAAAAGACAGATGGTATATGTGAGCTGGTATAGCTGATAGATAATAGGTTCAGAACATGGTCTGCCTGATAGTAAAATAATTTAAACTACTTATGTGTTTGTTACAAAACAGCGGCAGATAACAACTTCATAATAATAATACATTAGATAGATGAAGGGTGTGAGCCAGACAGTTTCATCAATTGCTAGAGACCTTTTCACTTGAACGCTAGAATGAGAGTAGGATAGAAGCAATCTTGATTGCCCTGAAAAAATGATCTGTCCAGAGCTAGGCTCCAAAGTCAAACTCTGGTCATAATTCTTGGAGATCTATTTGGTGCCGTATGACTTAGAAGGCCACAAGGTGCTCTCAGCCCATTATTGTGTCCTAAATGGAGAGAGTACTGGCCCTGCTCTGGCCTGGCCATTGTTGATCGCTGCCTAGTTCTGAGTGGCAGTGAAACCTCTATGATTGCAAGAGAGAAAATAATTTAACAAAGTTACAGGAAGATGTAGCTATGACATTTTATGTACATGGAACAAGCCTTTAACAAATGAAGGAAAGTTGCAGGGAGTGACTTTTAAAAACTTACTTGTTTTTAAGGACTGCTCTTGATTTATAATTGCTTCTAAATGAGAAGTTTTCCTTTCTGGGTCAACGTTTAGAACTCACTAATAGATACTGAGTGGCTACTATGAGCCCAACCCAGCACTCTTTTTTTCTCAGCATCAAAGGTGGATATAAGTAAGTGTAAAGATGCAGGCTTGCTCAAAGAAATTGAAATACATTTAGGAAAATGAAAGGTTAATTAAATTTTTAAATATGGGAGTTACATGACAATATCCAATAAGGATGTAAGAAATGTCACATGGTGAATGAGCGCAATGAGCAAATAAAATGTTTAACTTCAGAGCTCTGATTGGGCATCTAACTCTGAACCTTGAAATCTCATCAATATGTTTAATCTTGTATTTTTTTGGTATAAACCACTGTGCATAATTCTTTTCCATCTCTGAGTCAACAAGTGGTACCTTAATCTTCTTTCATGTCATCTTGGCCTTTTCAGAGACTCTTATTTTATGTCAATGACATGAAACTTAAAAACCAAAATTATCAATTGCAATAATGCACCAGTATTTACAAATATGAGTAGTATATAAATATTCAAAATGGGCATTGCCCAATGGAAATATAATGTGAGTCACAAATGTTACATGTAGTTTCAATATTTCTAGTGGTCGCATTTAAAAAGTAAAAAGAAACAGGTGAAATTAATTTTAACAAGTTTTGTTTAACCCAATATAGCCAAAATATCATTGCAAAATATAAAAACATAAAATATTAATGAGATAGTTTGCATTATTAATTAATTTATTTATTTATTTATTTTGGAGACCGAGTCTTGCTCTGTCACCCAGGCAGGAGTGCAGTGGTGCAATCTTGGCTCACTGCACCCTCCGCCTCCCAGTTTCAAGTGATTCTCCTGCCTCAGCCTCCCAAGTAGCTGAGACTACGAGCGCCTGCTACCAGGCCTGGTTATTATTTTTTTTTTATTTTTATTTTTTAGTAGAGATGGTGTTTCACCATATTGGCCAGGCTGGTCTTGAGCTCCTGAACTTCTGATCCACCCGCCTCGGTTTCCCAAAGTGCTGGGATTACAGAGGTGAGCCACTGCATCCAGACTTTTTTTTTTTTTAACTAAGACTTCAAAATCCAGTGTGTATTTTACAATTACACATCACAATTTAGACTCGCCACATTTCAAGTGCTCAATAGCCACATGAGGCTGATGGTTACTTTATTGGTCAGCAAAGCTATGGACTCATACAGACAAATAAGAATTCAAGCTGTGTGGCCTGGCATGGTGGCTCAAGCCTGTAATACCAACACTTTGGGAGGCCAAGGCAGGAAGATCACTCGGGGCCAGTAGTTCAAGACCAGCCTGGGCAACATAGTGAGATCCCATCTCTAAAAAGGAAAATATGAAAATTAACCTGGTACGGTGGTCCATGACTCTACTCCTAGCTACTCAGGAGGCTAAGGCAAATGGATGAATCCCTTGAGTCAGCCCAAGGGTTTGAGGCTGCACTGAGCTGTGATTGATCATACCGCTGCACTCTAGCTTAGGAAAAAAAAAAAAGAAAGAAAATAAATTCAAGTTCAAGCTGTGACCTTCTGCAAGCTATTTAACCTACCTTTGATTCATATTTCTTTTCTAAAAAATGGAACAATAGTACCTAAGATGTTACAATAGGTACAATAATATACCGAAGATGTAGGTACTATTATTGTTCCATTTTTTAGAAAGTGGAACGATTTGGGACTAAATTAAGTGATTATGTATAAAGGCTCAGAACAGTGCTTTGCACATAATAAGTGTGACGTGCTTATTATCTTTACACTATGGAATATAAAGCAAGGCATATTTTAATATATAGATAAATTTCTATATTTTGTTTATAACTATTATTATCATTGATTTTTAAAATGAAAAACAATTTGAATGAAGGAAGTGAAACGTTTATCTAAATTAAAAATGTGATAAACTAATTCTTTAATACATAAACCCATCTTCAGAAATATAATAAACTAATTCTTTTATACTAATTCTTTTATATTCTTTTTATATCAGTATCCTTAGGACGTTTTTCTTGGGCTAGTATAAATTTCCAGATTCAGATCATCTTACATTATTAGAAAATATTTTTACTCTGACATTTATTCAATAGTGTAGGTATAGAATTCTAGATTCTCTAATCTTCTTCCTGGTATGTTTGTACCCAATTTTCAGTAACGGGGAGGGGAAGGGTCCTCAAATTTGATATGTAAACTTTTACTTAATTCTACCCATGTAATTGCATAGGATGATTTTTCTTAGGTTCTTTCAATGTAAAGAGAAGGGAGGGGGGACCTTTGAGCTCTGGGAGAATTGTTATGATCACCCTGTAAAAGCAGGAGGGATTCCAGTCCAAAGTTTGGTTCAGATGTTGAGACTGATGATGCCACACACACACATGAAAAAGCTATGGAAAGGTTTATTACTTACAGAATTCAGGTCTCTAGGAAGAGCAGGGCAGGCCTCTCAAGCAGAACCTAAATGGCTTGAAAGAGCTAGGAAAGGAGACTGGAATGGGTGTTTATTGCGGTTAGGTGATGCTAGCCCAGGTAAGGATTCACTTGCAAAGAGGATTGCATGGTTTGAATCTCCCACCAATGCCAAAGCAGGGAGCCCCCAAGCTTTCTTATCAGCTTACCTAGATGTGGGACACAAGAGGAGGAAGGAAGGTGAAGGTTAATGAAATTAATCCTCATTACAGGAATGCTCTGGACAGAGGGCAGAACATTTAAGAATGGCTTCCACTTTCAGAAAATGTTACAAGGGGAGATTGTCTTACCAAGGTCTGAGATAGAGAAAGACTTTAATCTGAAAACTCCAATTTTCCCTTTGTATGGCTAATGATGAGGTCAGGAGTATGTAGGTGATTCTACTACTAGGAAAACTTATTAAATGACCTTTCATATGCAGTGGCTCTCAGAGTATGAGAGATCACCAGCAGCATCAGCAGCTCCAGAGAATTCATTACAAATGCAAATTCTCTGGGGATGAGGCCTTACAATATTGGTTTTAACAACCCTTCCCGTGATGCTAATACTTGCTCAAATTTGAGGACTTTAGATATAGAGTATGCAAGCTAATCCATGTCTGGGAAGGAGCTGGAGAACTAAATGGCACAGTATCATGGGCATAATGAAGAAAAGGACTTTTGAATTTTTTATTGGCAGGTGGAAGAGACAGGAAGACAGGTCATGTCCTTGGGAAGAGCAGGTACAGGGGAAGATTCCTGGAGAGAGGAGAGGAGCCCTACAACATGGCAGGAGGCTAGGGTCTGAGGAGGAAGAGAGCTGGTGAGAATTTCCAAGGGATAGGGATGGTTAAAAAGGTCTTAAGATGGTGATGTGTGGCACTCTGCTTTATGCTTTCTATGTTGTAATATTCCTCTCTCAGTCATGAGTGGTCAGTAGAAGTCAATTATACTGGCCAGGCGTGGTGGCTCATGTCTGTAATCTCAGCACTTTGGGAGGCTGAGGTGGGCAGGTCACTTGAGGCCAGGAGTTCAAGACCAGCTTGGCCAACATGGCAAAACCCCATCTCTACTAAAAATACAAAAATTAGCCAGGCATGGTGGCACATGTCTGTAGTCCCAGCTACTGGGGAGGCTGAGGCACGAGAATTGCTTGAACCCAGGAGGTAGGGGTTGCAGAGAGCTGAGATCGTGCCACTGCACTCCAGCCTAGGGAACAGAGTGAGACTGTCTTTCAAAAAAAAAAAGTCAATTATATACAACCAAGCTGTAGTAGACAGTGGGGACTGAAGGAGAAGAAGTCAAGGAGGAAAAAAATTACCATTACTCTGTGCAGAGAGAGGATGTCTTTTTAATTTTTTCTTATCAAGGCATTCAGTATTCACTCACTGACTGACTAAATAAATGAAATGTCTGAGTACTTCTAGATTTATGGAAGGGACTTAGGCCTCTTTTTTTTTAAAAGAAGTAATTTGTTGCCTTAAGCATATCATGTATTAAAAATAGGAATAAAAATATGTGATAAACTAATTCTTTAATACAAACCCATCTTCAGAAATATAATCAACTAATTCTTTTATACATAAATCCATCCTCACTAAACAGGCAAATAAAATTAAGTGACCATAGATTTAGCATATGGCTGAAGAGTAATATTTGCCAATATTTTACCTCACAGGTAGATGATTTATAAGAACATTGACAGTTATGTTCCTGGCATAGATGCATTATTAGCATGTTCGTGTTTTGGAAAGGCATTCTGTTTCTGCACATCATGTTATCTGTACCTTCCAACGTGGAAACACACTTGCTGTGAATCATTCCTCAGAATTGTTCTTGCTTAGGAAATGAGCAGTTACTAAGGAGTCATCTTTGACTTTATGTTTTTACTTTGAATCTTTAAATTTAAGTAAATCTTTCAAAGAATCCTACCTGGCTTATAGTTATGAATTGCCATAAATTTTAATGAAATATCAAATTATGTAAAGATGACCTAAACCATTTTACTCATATGCCATATTTTCCCTTCAGAACTTGAATATTTATTTTTTGCCTGCCTGTTGAATAGCATTTCTCTCAAAAGTGCAAGATTTTTTTTATTCTAATTTAAGTAAAATAAGTTTTGTCTTTGTTGTTCTTAATCTAGAATGTTTTGATTTGTATATTACTTTTAAATGTTGTTTCTGGTTATAGAAGCTGATTACTTAGCTGCTTTGTATTTCTTTTACCCGTGTACTTAGAGACCTTTAAAAATAATCAGCATTTTAAATATTTTCATCATATCACAAGTTATATCTGGCAACATTGTGCATTAGCTACCAACATATGCATAGGTACTTTACTTATTTTGAAAGTTCCTGCCAACGTTATATAAAAACAACTTTGGATTTGAAGCTGTCTATCTTCAATGGAAATAAGGAAATTGTTGCTTGAAGTGCAACTGGTTTAGCATGCTATTCATTGACATTTCTGGACAGGTAACATACAGAAAGAGAATTCCTGATAATGTAAGAAGGTAAATGGCAGAACTGAGACCCCTAAGGGATGAGAGTTGCTGTTAAGTTCCCATAACCCATTCCAATCATTCCAATTGATATTCCCTCCCACTCCAAAAAAAGACAGGAAAAACTGATCAGTATGGAGGCAAGTGAAAGTTTCCATGGTATGATCACAAAAATCCTGTAATATTAAACCACAAGGCATAGAGGAGGTCATTTAGCCTAATATCTTCAGCTTATAATTATAGAGAGATGGTATTCAGAAGGGCTAGATAATTTACCCAAGATCACAGATATAATAGTGCAACTCCCAAATCTGTTGTAACACTCCCATGCATCTATGCTCATTTTCACAACTGCTAAATGTTAAGAAAAATGGCTTTTCACGTGTTTTAGTACATAGACGTGTTTTTCATAGTTAAATTTTGCCAAAATCAGATACATTATCATGTCTTCCTTCATGATTTTTCATTGCAATTGTAATGGTTTTATCTTCAATCACATAAAAAATGAAAACGACAAGCTCAAAAAGAATTATTTGATTTAGAAAATATTACCACAATGCTTTCCTTTCAGGCAATCATGTGCTGGTAAATGTTTAACAACTGGCTGAGGGTGGAGCGGGAAGGGGTGGGATGGAGCCATGATAGGATTTGCTGATTTCTGTGGTGTGAATACTGCCGCCATGACCAATTTCAAGCTACCAACATGAGGTCCTCAATGTGAAGTTGGGAGTTGATGCACACAATTGGTGCCTGCAAGTGGGTACAAGCTGGTTTTATCACATCATTGTTTTCAGAGCACAAACAACAAACTTGAGGTCCAATTGGGGATCTTTTTTTTATTTCAATTGAGTCTTGATTTTCAGTTTATATACATATACGTGCACTCATACATTTGACCCCTGAATTTTATGTTTTTGTCTACATTCTCTTTAAATCCAATATACACTGGTTTGGTAATAGATCAGTATGTCTTCGCCGATTAAAGGCATTTGAATTATAACATTTTGTTCATAGGAGGATGTAAACCCTAACCTTAATCAGTGCATTTCAGGGGACAAGAACCAAACAAAAGAGAAGGAATTTCCTAATAATTCATACATAGCAAGCTTTGAGAAAAATCTCCATGCCTTTGCCTTTGACTTTAGGTTCTAAATAATATGACATACTTCCCTAAGGAACATCTTCTATCTGTATCCCACACGCCTACTCACTCCTTCAAGAAATAAAACTGTAAAAAAAATGTCGTTTAAAGTAGAATCCTGAAAAATAAACAGTAAGCTTCTAGTGTAATGTTTCAGAGGAAAGAAAGATCTTGTATTCATTGCAATTTATCTGGAACACAACTTATTTGACTTTCTGTGGTCCTCTTGAAGGTGATTAATCACCAATTTTAGAGCACCAAGAATTGCACAATATTAATGTTTAATTAGCAAAAGGGAAGCACCTGGAGTGTGGAGGAAGCGACTCTAAGATTAGACTATATGCTTTCAGGTTATAACAAAAGACAAATTTAATGACCATACTATTTATCCTTAGGGAAAATATAGTTGATAAGTTGTTAGATAGCCTCAACTCAAGGAGAGTACAAGCAGTAAGTAACCTTTTGCATGCTTATTTCATTGCCGACTTTTTACCAATAAATACCAATGAGGCATATTTGTGAGCTTTCCTATCCTTCCAACACAAAGGGAGGCAGATTGTGCTTGGGATGATGAGACAGATCTATGACACCATCAGTTTGATGTGTCATGCTTTGCACTTGACATGTTGCTTCTCACCAAAATAAATTGATTTGTCTTCCCCCACCTAATTATCTTCTTCGTCAACCTTCTTGTATTCAAATGGAAAAGATTATTCTAAATGCTTGCTTAACACCTTTCCTTTGCTGCCACTTTTATTTTCATAATTACCCTTTTATGAAAGTATAAAAAGATTTAAAATGATTATTCTTGGAAGGAGGCCCAAGGTGAAATCCTGTTGTATTTAATGTGTAAATTATAATGTGTGCAGTTTTGAAGAAGGGTTTTGGTGAAATGCTCATGTAACTGCAAAAATTTAAAGGAAGCTGTCAAAGAGTTTACACTCTTTCATGGCTAATATTAATTGGAAAACATCTCATAATATGTTATATCTGAAGGATAAATGGATAAGTTAAACACAGCCATTAACTTTCTGGAAGACAGGAAGATAAAGGATTACAATAGCCTCTCAGCAAGGGTTTAGGAAAATGCAAAACCCCTTCCTTTCCTCAGTTACTTTGAAGCATATTTGAAATGATTAATTTTCCTGTGAATATTAAGAGAATTAAAGAATTGAGATTTGAATAGAAACTGTGTTACCTTGCTGACCTTGCTAACAACTGACCTTGCTTCCCCACTTTTCAAACTGAACTTGTGTATGGCTTTTCTGACCAAATGCATTTGAAGCAAAAACAATCCTTTCATCTAAATAGAAAACTAAAGGAAAACATTTTTTAGTTTTTATATCCTGCCAATTTTCAAAAAATCTCCCCTTCTAAATTTAGATTGTAAAAATATTCAGTGTGCTTGTCTCCTGTTGTGCTAATTGGTAACCCTGCCACCTGTTAATTTTGGTATTTTAAACCAGTTAGAGCGGGGTTAATGAAAAAAATCAATATATTTGGATCTTATTTCTACCTCCAAAACTCCAAAGAAAACTCACAAAAGTGCTTACAATAGCACAGTACAAAGTATCCTGGCAAAACATTTTGAATAATCCTTCTTTCCTTCTTTCCTTCCTTCCTTCCTTCCTTCCTTCCTTCCTTCCTTCCTTCTTTCTTTCCTTCCTTCCTTTGAACCAAGAACTATGTTAGACACAATCAAGGAATACTCACACGGTAAGATACAGTCCCTACTAACAGTAAACTTAAGAGTCTGGACAAGTAGCTATATCTTACTTAATTTAATGGTTTACAACAGGTAGAGTAGGACAAACTGCTCACTTTACCATGGTGCTGACATTAAATAATTTAAGTTGATAAAATGCCTAAAACGATGAAAGTGCTGTGCACCTGCAGGAAATGCCTGGAGCTGGAAAGGGTGTTAGGGTGAAGGTTATCACAACTTCTCTCATGAAGTGGAGGTTTCATTGTTCAGCCTACCCCATTGATGGACTTCAATTGCCCAAAATATTTTAGAACTTTAAATCTTCAGTGGTTTTCACCTTGAGAAATATTATTTATTCTACAAAAAGAGAAACAATCAACATATTTTTTTCTACTGAAGACTGGCTTTTAAATTCTATTTAACAATTATGTAATAGGAACATGTTCATTGCATTTGTCTTAGAAAAAGTCTTCACTGATGACTACTTTTCATTTCAGGATATAAAGGTGTATTTTTATCTCCTCTTGCCTTCAGGGAATGTTATTTAATAGCATATTTGTGATCTTCTAGCCTGTTGTGCCAAAAAATAGCATTCCCTCAAAGCAGAAAATAGATAATTCCCAGAAGGAGAAAGTCCAAAGACAACAAATACATACACCGAGCTTGTCCAACCCACAGCCCGGGGGCTGCATGTGGCCAGAACAGCTTCGAATGTGATCCAACACAAATTTGTACACTTTCTTAAAACATTGTGAGATTTTTTTTTCTCATCAGCTATCGTTAGTATTAGTGTATTTTATGTGTAGCCCAAGTCAATTCTTCCAAGTGGCCTAGGGAAGCCAAAAGATTGGACACCCCTGACATACACTAGGGGATTCTGTCACAGAAATTATTTTCTAAAACAGTAATTATAGTAATACTAATATAAGAGCAATGGTCTAAAGTCATGACACAAAATAAAAGCAAAAACACACAATACATACATAGTCTCATTTCTCATTTATAAATAGAATTCCCTCATGTAAATTTCAAAGAGGTTTTTAATATGTTTTCTATTCTCTTCCCTTACCCATATTTGAGGATAAATGTTGTGGTTTTAGGCATTGAACCGTGAATGTAAGGGTGTTTTACACAGTGGACACATTTACTGACAGTAAAACTACGGTTTTACAATTTGAGCTGTATCGGGATATTTTTCTAATCCTGAACTGAACTGATCACTAAACTGTATGGTTAGTCATCAGGAACATACCCATCCTATCCTTATAGGCCTGTACATCTGAACAGGATTTGAATCTAAAGTTAACTAATGTATTAACTAGTGGAATTTGATTTCATGCATATTTTTGTATAGAAGTCAGCTTTTAGTTACATTGCCCTTTTGGCAACATTGTCTCGTTGTTAGGTAGGAACTATATATTCAAATTATCATTAGTAGTATCAAAGGGACTCTCACATGAAATGCAGATCCACAATGGTCATGGCCACTGTTGATTTCATTTCGCTTCAGAAAATTGCAAAACATTCCATGGTGAGTCAAAAGTACTCATAAGGGAATGTAAAAAAGCAGAATCTTAAATAAGCAAATGTTATTGTTTTATTCTTTCTATGGTTAAACAAAAGATATGTTATAAGTATGGGGGGAAATATCACGCTTTTAGGAAAAGGTTGTCTTTTATAGAAAGGGTTTATTTATATTGAGTCATTGGAAACTAGAAGGAAATAGGAAAATAATCTTTGTCAGCTATTGGATCTTGGTAGGTTTATTTACTTAAAATAGTGAGAGAAAAGGAGATTTTAACAAATTGAGTAACTGAAAGTGATACTGCTGTTGACTAGGAAAAGTTAAAAAAGGGGAAAATATAACTTCAGAGACATCCTTGTAAAAACATGATCAAAGTGATTGTATAGTGCTACCACTATTATATCAGATGACTATTCATTTAAATTGGAAAATTTTGCTCAAAGATGTTCACATGTTGGTTGTTTTTTTTTCCTTTTGTACATTATTACATTATGAAGGATTTTAGAGAGAGGAGCTGCCAATTCCTCATAATTCTTTGAGTCAAATCATTTTGGTACCAAATAGCAGATGAAACTGAAGCATAGAGGTCAAGTTTCTCGGGGCCACAAAGTGAATCAATGGCATAGGTAAATTCAAGCAGCATTTTTGAGTCCACAGTTTATTTCTGGTTTGTTGTATTGTGCTACCTCCTGGAAACTATAATTTAGAAAGAAAAATTACTTTTTAAGTGTATTAGTTTGTATCCAGTTTCCTGGAATCAATTGTCTTAAGATTTACTTGTGATATTTGAATCTACCCAAATTTACCTGACTTCAAGTTCAAAGTGAGGGAGGGAAAAAATAGATCTTATTTATTTATTTATTTATTTATTTATTTATTTATTTTAAAATTTCCGTAAAATACACAAAACATAAAGTGTACCATCTTAACTATTTTTAAGTGTATACTTCATTTGTGTTAACAACATTCACATTGTTGTACAACAGAACTCTGGAAGTTTTTCTTCTTATGACATCTAATTGCTCATGAGCATGTCCACTGCCATGGCAACTTTAAAGATCTTCATGCTCATTTATTAAAGTCTAGCAATTTATCCATAATAATACCATAATGAACAACAAAGAAAATTATGATTTACTTCTCTATTTCCCAGTCACCTGCTATAATCTATTGTGTCCTTGATGAAAATCATCTTTATTAGTTTGAAAAAGGAAAGAGGTGTGGGGCAAAGATTTTCGGGGGAGAGATGCCTCACAAATGTTTTCCTGTCAAAGTAAGGAATGGGGAAGGGAAAATAATGAGAAACAAATCTGCATATAAACATGAAAATGTATTGCAGTTATATTAAGAAAAATTACAGTTGTGAAATTAAAATGCAAAGCTTCAACTCCTTAATCCTGCCTTAGAAGTAAGGACGTCTCAAGGTGCAAATTAAGTGTGTGTTATAGATGTAGGAGATAGTTGGGAGTGTTGGTAGTTCTAGTATTCAGGTGAGGAAAGTTTTGCAATATGTAAACTTCATGATGTATCCCTCTAGATTTTTTTCCTTTGGCATTCAAAATGATTTCAGTGGAAAATGTAAGTCTATTAGTAACTGCAAACATAGCAACAATACTGTCTTATAATTGTATATAACTTTTAAAAATCTGTGGTAAAATACACATAACATAAAATGTATCTTCTTAGCTATTTTTAATTGTACAGCTTGGTAGTGTTAACTATATTCACATTGTTGTGCTGCAGACCACTGGAAATTTTTCATCTTGCAAAACTGAAATTCTATAGCCATTGAACAACAACTCCCCATCTTCCCCTCTTTTCAACCCTTGGCAATCACATTCTTACTTTTTGTTTCCATGAATTTGACTACTTTAGATACTTCATGTAAGTGAAATCATATGGTATTTGTCTTATTGTGACTTCACTATTTCACTTAGCATGATGCCCAAAAGTTTCATCTATGTTGTAGCATGTGTCAGGATTCCCTTCCTTTTTAAGTTGTTTAGCACTTGTAACCTTGAAACCAGTGTTTAGATATATTGACTAATTACACGTATGTATCAGCTGGAGAAAATGCTATGGCATTTTGCACAAACTGCATGTTTTATTTATTTATCTTTCAATTTTCCATAGGACCAATCCTGCACCTCAATATAACTTAAAATAGAAATTAAAACAGACAGATTAGAAAGTGAAAATACGAAGTATATTTTGAAGTTAATGAATTATCTGCATCTGACCTGAACTATAACATGGTTATAATGATCAAATTCATAGATTATTAAGTTTACATCTCTAATCCTAATGTGGTAAAAAACTTCTAGAATAGTGATGTGATTTGCCTGAGGTCGCACAGCTCAATATGGCCAAACTAGTATATTAGATTTCTGTTGCTATACAACAAATTGTGATGGACAGCAACTGAAAATAACACCCATTTATTGCCTTGCAGTTCTGTATGTTAGAAGTCTGGATGGGCTTGACTGGGTTTTCTTCTAGGGTCTTACAAGGCTGAAATCAACGTGGTAGCCAGGCTGGGCTCATATTGGAGGCTCTGTGGGGAATAACTGTCTCAAAAGCTCATTGAAATTTTTGGCAGAATTTAATTCATTATGATTGTAGGGCTTATGTTGCTGTTTCCTTACTGGCTGTCAGTACAGGGCTGAGTTTGGCTTACTAAAATCATTTGCATTCCTTGTTGTGGCCCCCTCCATCTTCAAACTGGTAGTGGTATGTTCTTTGTTTTTCTTTGCACTTTATTTTATTTATTTATTATTTTTGAGACAGTATGTTGCTGTCTCACCCAGGCTGGAGTGCAGTGGCACGATCATAGCTCATTGCAACCTCAAACTCCTAGGCTCAAGTGATCCTTCTGCCTCAGCCTCCTGAGTAGCGAGGACTACAGGTGTGTGACATGATGCTCAGATAATGCTTTAATTTTTTGTAGAGATGGCTGTCTTGCTATGTTGCGCAGGCTCGTCTCAAACTCCTGGCCTCAAGTGATCCTCCTTCCTCAGCCTCCCAAAGTGCTGGGTTATAGGCATGAACCACCACACCTGGCTCTCCTCTCCACTTTTAAAGGGCTTACATGATTAGATTGGCTCACCTGGACAATCTCATTTTTTATTAACACAGAGTGAACTGATTTGTTATTTTAATCACATTGGCAGAATTTCTCTTGCTGTGTAATGTAACATAATCTTGGGCATGATAGCTCATGATATTCACAATTCTATTAAGTAGGGCTGGAAATCTTGTCATGGAGACAATTTTGAAATTCTACCTACTGCAACTGGGATTAGAACTCAGATTTCACTTTAAGTGCTTTCCACTGCACTACCTTGAATATCTACGATTGTTCAAGGTGCTTTTATTTTAAGATTAGTTGCTAATATTTATCCATGAAGAGCAAAAGTTTAAAAGGAGTTTAAGTCAGCAAGGAAACTGCCTTCTGAGTTTATTGATTGAATGTGTGTGCTTCCAGACTGTATCACTATCCATAGAGACTAATGCAGGCAGGTTAATAGTGATCAGCTTTCTGATGGACTTGCTCAAGTTCTTAAGATATCCTAAATTGTAATATTAACACCATGCTGCTGCATTTTCTGATTGCCATTCAAACTTGAAATGCTAACTGTTGAGGTTATCGTGAGATTATAGACTGACAATATTACAGGCTGATGATTATTGATGAGACTTCATTTATCAGGCATGGAAAACATTATTTTGGCTAGTTGCAATAGTATCCTTCTTGCTGGTATTAACATGTCCTTTGCAATAACCATTAAAGAAAGTCTGTTTGATGACACAAAGGAAAAGTCAGTGACCTTTCAAAAAAAAAAAAAAAAAAAAAAACCAGCGGCAGTTACAGCAAATTACACAGAAGCCTTCCCAAGGCAGTGGAGCTTAACAAAACATGGCCCCAGGAAACCTGATACCTTGAGATGTTTCTTCTGTGGTCAAATACTACGGTTAGCATGTAGTAAATTCACTAGTTTAGCTGGAGTGGAGGACTCATTTAAGTAGTAATTGGAGAAAAGGCAAAAAAGATATATTGGAGCAGGTTACCAGACTAAATCATTTAGACTTTATTTTGTATGCAGTCAGAAATATTGAAGGTTCTGGAGCAAAATATGACATAATGAAAGGGGTATTTCATCAAAATTCATTGCAGTTTATTTAGAATGGATTGGAACACAGTGAGGCAACCTGTTACAAATAACTAGGGCATGAAGGGATGAAGGCTTGAATTAGAGTGTCAGAAGTAAAAAACATGGAGAGAAGTGAAATATTGCAACACATATTATGATGGAACAAAAATATTGAAGACTCGAAATGAAAGGAGAGGACAAGGAGAGAAGTTTGTAGTTTTGGCATCGGAGAGCATTCCTATATTGCTGACAGAACAGGAGAAGGGTGGAAAGTGGGATTTGAGGGAAGAATACGCAGAATGTAAGGCACTAGTGGAATGTGTCCAAATGTGAATGTTAATTTCTTATCCATTCATCATAAGTTTTCCACAGTGATACTTTGTAAACTCAAGAATAACTTTGTTTTACAAACATTGTGTCTGACAGTGATATGATACACAATAGAAGGGGAAATATTTATTTAATTTGATTCAGTTTAAGATGTATTAATGTGCGGCTGGGCGAAGTGACTCTCACCCATAATCCCAGCATTTTGGGAGGCCGAGGCGGGCGGATCACTTGAGGCCAGGAGTTTGAGACCAGCCTGACCAATATGGCAAAACCCCGTCTCTACTAAAAATGCAAAAAATTAGTCGGGCGTGGTGGGGCGTGCCTATAGTCCCAGCTACTTGGGAGGCTGAGACAGGAGAATCACTTGAACCCGGGAAGCAGAGGTTGCAGTGGGTTGAGATTGCACCACTGCGCTCCAGCCTGGGTGACAGAGTGAGACTCTGTCTCAAAATAAAAAAAAAAGATTTACTAAGGTGCATTGATTCTACTGATGTTAACAGGAATTACACAAGCAGAAAGAGAAAAGGTTGCTAATAATTCAAGTCATACACTAGCATTTATGTTATAAAATCATTGTTAATTATATGAAGGTCTTTATTAGAATTCAGTGAATTTAGGACAAAAAGTAAACTTGTTTAAAGGTGCTAACATCAGATTTAAAGCACATTTCATTTAAATAGGGAACAGAGTCAAGTAAATGAAGTATAAAATACCTTCACAGTTATACTTCCTGTCAAGTGTGTAGTCAACCCATAAATTGTCTATGCCATCAGATTTCTTTTGTTTTTGAAGGAAAAGAAACAGAAATTCAGTATTAGTGAGAGAAAGAAGCATCACCATTTTAAAACATAGCTATAAATAATTCAATTTATTATAATTATAAGATTAATACATAAACATGGGTCGTTCTACTTGAGCCTTAACATTTTAATGCATGACCCATTGACAAGTGGAGGTTTTCCTTCATCCCCCTCAACAATCTTATGTTAATTTCCTTAACTTGCCTGATACTAACGAAATGCTGGTGTTGATGCTCTTAGTATATCTACGCTTAAGTTTGGGATATGCGTATAAGATCTGAAAAGGGTAGAAAATGCTAATAGAATCTAAATGATCTTCTCTCTGGTGTGTTTTTAATTCTTTGTATTGATCACTCCTGAAGACATGATGAACCATACTTTAAGTTCCCATGAACCAAGAGCTGATTGATGCCCAGTTTAACATAAGCACCATTTTATGAGAGTTACCATAGTGATCAGGTTCCAGTTATCAGCTTGAACAATTTAATATATGATTAATGTTAATTGCCCATTTTGCATGGATGACTTCTTCCTGGTTGCTGAATTGGTTGCTGCTGCCTTTGATCTAGTTGGAAATTCAATCCAGTGCAATAGTTAGGCAAGTGATCTGTTTGCCAGCACAGAAAAGATGGATTCAGTTTGCTGTGAGGTCAGAGTTTGTTTCTCTTCATAAACACTGGAAGGTCAGGTAGAGTTTAGCTACCATTGGCATCCTTAAAATGTTGTAATAAATGTCAGACCTAAGAGATTTTTATTAATCCACACAGCAGTTGGAAGTCTTACTGTTCTGGCAAAATAAAGAGATTCTTATTTAATATAACGTGCACATTGAAATTCAGAGCAGCACTTTCATAGTCAGGTAAACAACGCCTTCAAAGCTAATGTCATTTTTGGTTTTCTGGCTTCTAATGTACGCTAAACAGTGACACATTCAGGTACTATCTCAAGGGATTTTAAATATCAGTGATAACTCTGAAAAGTAAATCCCAAGTCATTGGTAATGGCTTTCACTTCAGGAATTCAATTGCAGTGGTTTTTACAAGTTGCTGCTAATACCACCCTTAACTACCACTATATTTGCAGCAATTTTCACAGACTGTCCTGGGATGTTATAAGTGTTTCTTTAAGAAGTAGGAAGACAAGCTTTCATTGAAGGGATGACATAAACTGTGATTCCTTGCTGAATCAAGGACTGCTCATATGATTTATATTAAATATCTTTAAAGCTTATGACATCATTAATTAATTAACTGGATTTTTTCTTTGGAACAACAAAAATCACTCTTACTCAGTTGCTTACTCCTTGAATCACAAATGACATGAAACAAAAATAAATTCAACAGTCAAATTTAGTAATCTTAATGAATGATGTATGAGCTACCTTCTCTATTGCTCAACTTGGAATAGATATATCACAGAATGTGTCCTATCTTATTGACACTAGAAGACTTGCTGAAATTCTCTCTTAGGGAATTGCCAACTCTACAAAGTTTGTAAACTTCAAGGTAATGCTCTGATGGTAATCCACTTCAACTGCAGAAATATGAAGTACTGTTAATATATATTTTAAGTTGGTTTATTTTTCAATCTCAGGAAGCTGGGTGAGTATTTCATTTCTTCTAAAGAAGTTTACAGAATGACGGGGAAATCATATGAGGATAAATTATGTTAAGGGATGACCTGGGCCCAGAGAAATTATGATTATTTAGTGTAATTTCCCTTTAAATAACCTAGAAATATTACACTTAATGTGAATTCTATAAAGCTGAATCTCTCCAAGATTTAGCTGAGGTATTTATTAAGTTTGACTATTTTATGGGGTTGTTTGCCTTGTACCATAACAACTTTCCTTTACAGTGTACATGAGTGATATATTGGCAGAGCCATTTGGATGGGAACTTTGTAAAAAGGCCTGTTTTATTTTACAGACTACAAATAACCTTGTAATTAAACTGAAAACAAATAATTGCCAAGAAACAATTATCATTTAATTAAAGAGTAATTACATGGTTATTCGTGCCCTGTAAAATAAAGCATTACTAAGATCAGTAATGCAATCAACATTTTAGTAGAAGCAGGTGCTACAATGATGGACCTTTCAACCTATGCCGATTAAATTGTCATCCAAATAACAGTTACCTAGTTAAACCACCACATGTTTATTTGCCTTGATTAATATGTGAATATCTGCCTGATGCTAATACAGCTCTTAAAGATAAGAAGTATGGCAAGATCATATATCAAGAAAGATCCTTCCCAACTTTTTACAGAGTCCTCCACAATCTTTCATCGTGTTGTCAGGTTCGTGTTCTTTAAAATGAAGTGCAGGAATGTCTAGGAATGTCGTACTATGGAGAATCAGTAGGTCTAATAGAATAAAGCTATCTTATATTTGTATGTAGGTATATTGACTATAAAGCACTTTCACAAACTTCATTCCAATTAATTTACTCTTGGGGCCCAAGTCTTTGTTCCAAAATTAAAAACAAAGAAATCTGAATGTGATATTTGATGACTGATAAATGTAAACAAGTTTGGAAGCAGGGATCTCACAACCATACTCACTAAAGGGTCAATCAGAAATTTTAAATAACAGGGCAAACACACATCTCTATAACTAGACCACAAGCTCCTGAAAGGCAAAACTTGTTCTAGGTTCTCACAATATATCAATGAAAAAATCAAACCAAAATCTTTGCCCTCGTTGAGGTTACATTTTACCCTCTGTGTCACTGATACCTAGCATTATACCACACACACGCTTAATGGGTACCTAGTGCATGTTTGTTTACTAGATGACTGAATAAGTGATATCGTTACTGCCTATGTGTGACTACAGGGGCCTTTATTCCTTAAGCAGATCTTGAAGCTTGTAGGGCTTCTAAGTGAATAAGACAATGGGATCTATCCATAGCCTTCTTTACCCTTGTACACAGTCAGATTTGAGTTGATCATGTTTTGAAGCTGCTATAGTTATTGTGAAGTTCAAGATTTAAAAACACAATTATGTTATGATTAAATGAAACTGGCTCTCTGTTCTTGTGATCAAAGAGACCAGAGTAATTGAAGGAATATTTGGAAACTGTACAAGCAGTGAAAGATTGTTTCCTATGTATATTAATTAATTGTTTTAATTAACTTTTTGCTGGATCTTACTTTCTGCTAGAAACCATGAGAATTGCTTAGGATACAGTAACAAACAAAACCAGACAAGTATGCTACCTTCATGGAGCTTAGATTCCAGTTGGGGAGACTCACAATTAATCATACCAACAACATAAAATTATGAACTGAGATGAAAGTTAGGATGGATAATATGGTCCTCCTGGATTTTATAACATGGGGAATAGATAGTACCAAGCCATTTGTGAAATAAGCTGTGAAACCATTTTTTTTTTTTTCAAATCTTCACCTTTAAGGTAGAACTACTGGACTAAGAGGCCTCTAATGCTTCCCAAGCCTGGGTCAGATTGTTGGAAAAGAGTTGCTTCAGATAGTGAGAATTGACCAAGAAATTTGGAACAGAACTAGTTAAACCTTATGGCTTTCAAAGTGTACTGTTAACTGCTGGCAGTCATATGGCTCATCACGTGGAAGTAGAGGGAGCATCAGGCTGCTTAGTTCTGGAGGCAGCCAGTCTGAAAGTGTTCATGAGAATGGAGATAGCACTGAGATGTTTACAGCGGACAAATACAAAGACTAATCAGGTGTGTTTAAATAAAGTTAGTAGGCTTGAGTTCTGACAAATAGAAGGACACAAAAAAGCATTTAGAAAGTATAGATTTGATGAAGCTTATTCGATAAAATAATGTGTCTTTCTCTGATGCCTGGATATATTCCGATGAACATTTTTCAGTGATATTGGGATCCTTTAGGACATTCGAAGTACATAGGATATTTCTGCTTCCAGCATTCCTTAAAAGAGTCAGAAAGCCATAAAATAGGGCAAAGGCAAACACGGTAAAACACTGAGTTAAAGAAAATAAATTATGGCCCAGAATCAAGTAGAAAGAAGGAGAGGAGAGTCCATTTATAAAATTGAAACATCAAATGAGAAAAACAGAATCTTTTGCGCTAGATTGATATATAATATTGATGTACAGTGGAAGAAAATAACACTAGCACAGTGTATGAAAAATGAACTGGGTAACGATACCTCCGTGTAAGGTTGCTAGAAGTTGTTTTTCATTTAAAAGCAGAGTTTGTCTTACATTGATGGATCATTTTGCTACTGCAAAGTTGATAGAGTGAGGTTTAACTTAAATTTCTTTGTAAACCAAAAGTCATTTTGGGGTATGTTCTCTATCTGAACCTCATACATTTTTGCTGCTAAAATTATTTAATATAGTATTTTGCAGTATTTTGTCAAAACTCATATCATTCAGCTTTGTAAAATGCATTTCTACTAAAAGGCAACAGCAATATCTTAGGCAACATTAGAAAGTAATATTTGAAATATATTGGGTGACTCGAGAATAACTTGATCCTAATGTTCTATGACTTACAAGTCTCTTCATGTAGTGACAGCTTTAAAATGATATTTTCAGTACCCTAACTCTATTACGGTACAAGATGGAGGCAACAGATACTGACTTTTTATTTCATTATTAGCATTTGCAATTACAGTTTCTGAACTGCTAATGGGTGAAGAATGTACAAATGCAATGGGTTAGGTTAATGTTATAAGTTTATCATCAACTCATTAGTTAAAAACACCAATCAATCCGAGAGAAAAGACAGCCTAGACTGCAAAGGTGGCAGGTTTTGTTAGTGTGGCCACTCCAAGAGAGTGAACTGCTTGTTATACAGCTTGGTTTAAAAACTACATAGGAAAACAAAACCTACTGAGGGTGGTAACCCTTTGTTCCTCGTTGGCTCCCAGCAGCTGTGGAAATGCTAATAAACATCAGCTTCTATTCTACATCTCTCAGCTCTTTACTATTCACCTCTGGCATGCTGGGCAGAGACTTAATCACTTCACATTCTATATAATCTTAATTCTGTGAGTCACTATCTCAGATCTCAGAAGCATTTATTAATACTTCAGATCAAGCGTAGCTTTAAAAGCAGGGGTAACTTAGGGTTTCTCACACAACAGGTAAGCTGCATTGCAAAGTGCTGGCCTGTAAATGGAATCTAAACTAAAATTGATCCCTTATGGCGCTAATGTTTGCCATAACAATGGTGGAAAATTTAGCGGAAAGTAAAGAATTGGTCTCTTAGTAATCCACGAAAATAGTCTTTAATGTAAAATTCTATCACTTTTGGCAATTAAACAAGATTTAAAAGGTAAATATTGCAAGTGATGGTTTTCTCAAAAAGAGTACATTTTTAACCTTTATCTATATTTGTCTGTTTTTCAACAGTTCAAGACCCGGCAGGCCCCCTAAGCGTTCTTTGGGAGTGTTGCAGGAAAATGCCCGCCTTCTGACCCATGCAGTCCCAGGCCTCTTATCGCCAGGACTTATCACTCCGACAGGTAATAAAATCCATCTGATGATCAGCCATGTCTCTTCGTACTGCCCAGCATTTGAAATAAACCAATATTGATCTAACTGCCTTGTCCTTCAGAGCTTTTCAAGCTCTATTAGAGGTTACATTACTGAATTTTTTTATGTGTTCGTGAAAACAAATTTTTTTACTTGAGCGACAAATCAAATGGACGTGATTTTAAAAATTGTCGTATCATTGCAGAAAATCCCTTTCAAGGCCTTATTGTTTGTATATATGTATATGTTTCTGTGCTAGGGACAGGAATGGAGGCACTGGCCCAAACAGCATCATCTCGAAGCCTCCTATAGGGTGCAGCACTCCTGTATACTTAGGTCTCAGTAATATTCTTTTAGTTTCCAGTGGTTCTGGGCATTCATGTATGTTGTCCAAGTTATTACTCTAGGTTAAAAAGTAGACCTAAAATGCATCCTTGGTATAGGAGCCTTATGATTAGAGAAGAAGAAGGTGCAGGTGGTCATTGTCCTGAACAATGTCTTAGTGTTTTTCATTGAACGCTGTGAATAACTGGTAAAACTCCAGTGTTATAAATTAGCATTGAACTTTGTTGAGTCCTTAAAAAAGTACCTGAGAGTACACAAAAACACTTTAAAATAAGCTTAATATTTCTATAATTGAATCTTTAAAAATCATTAAAGCTATTACATCATAGAAAATGAATTTAATAACAATGATATCTTTATACATAATGATACGAACATTTATAAAGCATCTGTTGTGTTCTGGGTACTCATTTCTAGGCATTGTAAAAATATACGAGTAGTGGTCCTTGCCACGCTAGAACTGGGGAGAGTGGAATGTAAATTAATAATTGCATTAAAGTGTCATAGAGGCCAAAATACAAGCACATACAAGGTGCTATAATATCATGTAAATGGAAGCAGTTATATCAATTTTGGTAAGTTGGGTAATACTCCATAAGATGGAAACTTTGGAGCTGTATTTTGTAGGCTGAGCATTGGACAGATGCAGAATCAGAGGAAGAGCATTCCAAGCAGATAGAAGAGTACAGATAGATGAGAAAAAGCCCAGTGTGTTATGGGGAGTAGCAGTTAAGTTGAAGAGACTGGAGCAGAGCTTTAAGGTAGAAGACTTATAGGTGATGTGGTTGGAATAGAAAGGGAGGGAAAAGCCAGCTTCTGAAACCAGTTTTTGATTTACCATGTTAAGCAATTTAAGTTTTTCCCTTTAGACCAGTGGTTTCCAAAGTGTCTTTCAGGACTTTCCTTACTGGCTGACATAGAAGTGAGGAAGTACTTACATGCTCCACACTTCTGCCTCAGTTAGAATTTTATATGTTCTCCTTCACTTATGATTTTGTTTTGTTTTATTCTTAAAGAAACTTCTATAGGTAAAAGGAGCCCTTGCTAAGGAACTGAGTAAATGATCAGAAAACAATTGCCTGGAGGGTTGATAGCAATGAAGGTAATGAAATGAAGGAATATCCGTTGCTACTGTCCAAAGGAGAAATATTGAGGGCCTGAAGGCAAATCCAATAGAATGGAGAAAAGGTTCTGAGTGCTTCAGTAATTAGAGTTAATCACACTTGATAATTGATTAAATGTAGAGGCTAAGGTGGTGGTCTAGGATGATTCACGTCTAGCTTGGGTGATAGGCTGGATGATGGTATAATTAACTCAGACAGAGAACTTGGGAAGACACTCAGGCTTTGAGGGGGAAGATAATGAATTTTCAACTTTAAATATTTATAAACAAATTCTGATATAAGAGAGTAGCCCTGTGCATATAAATGAAGATAGAAAGCATAACAACATCTGAAATATATCTTGGTATTCAATGAATGACCATCTATTTCTTGCCTCCTGAAATACATTCCTAGAGCCTAGAAAGAGTACCATGCAAATAATCAAATCTGTGTCCTGGTTTTGTGGGAATGTACAGATGAAAGAAGAAAAGAATTTTAAAATTGCCTTGAAGCTAAATCATGTTGAGTAAACATTAGTAGGTTATTTGTTGAGGAAAAGCTCTAATATATATTAAGTTCTTTTTATGTACTAGCCGTGGGTGCCAAGTGTTTTATATATACTTCATTTAATCTTCATAGTAGCCTTATGGACAATGACTTCATTTTTAAGGTAAACAATCTATGGCTCCGCGAGTTTAAATTATTTGCTTAAGGTCACAAAGCAAGTGAGTGGCAGAACTGAGTTTCTTTTTTTTTTAATTTTATTTAGTTTAATTAATTTATTTTTGTTTGTACATATTGTTTCATCACCCGGGTATTAAGCTTATTACCCAATAGTAATGTTTTCTGCTCCTCTCCCTCTTCCTGCCCCTTCTCAAGTAGACCCCAGTATCTGTTGTTCCTTTCTTTGTGTTCATAAATTCTTATCATTTATCTCCCACTTATAAGTGAGAACATGCGGTATTTGGTTTTCTATTCCTGTATTAGTTTGCTAAGGATAATAGTCCTCAGCTCCATCCATGTTCCTACAAAAGACATGATCTCTTTTTTATGGCTGCATAGTATTCCATGGTGTATATATACCACATTTTCTTTTTTCAATCTGTTATTGATGGGCATTTAGGTTGATTCTGTGTCTTTGCTATCATGAATAGTGCTGCAATGAACATTCACGTGCATGTTTCTTTATCATAGCATGATATATTTTCCTCAGGGTATATATACCCAGTAATAGAATTTCAGGCTGATAGTTCTGCTTTTAACTCTTTGAGGAACTGCCATACTGCTTTTGACAATGGTTGAACTAATTTACACTTCCACCAACAATGTATAAGTGTTCCTTTTCTCTGCAAACTCGTCAGCATGTTTTTTGACTTTTTAGTAATAGCCATTCTGATTGGTGAAAGATGGTATTTCATTGTGGTTTTGATTTACCACAAATCTAATGATCACAAAATCTAATGATACCACAAAATGTAATGATCAGTGATATTTAGCTTTTCTTCATATGCTTGTTGGCTGCGTGTATGTCTCCTTTTGGAAAGTGTCTGCTCGTGTCCTTTGCCCACTTTTTTTTTTTTTTTTTGAGATGGAGTCTTGTTCTGTCGCCCAGGCTGGAGTGCAGTGGTGCAATCTCGGCTCACTGCAACCTCTGCCTCCTGGGCTCACGCCATTCTCCTGCCTCAGCCTCCCGAGTAGCTGGGACTACAGGCACCCACCACCACACCTGGCTAAATTTTTTTGTATTTTTAGTAGAGACGAGGTTTCACCATGTTAGCCAGGATGGTCTCAATCTCCTGACCTCACGATCCACCCACCTCAGCCTCCCAAAGTGCTGGGATTACGGTTGTGAGCCACCACGCCTGACCCTTTGCCCGCTTTTTAATGGGGTTGTTTGTTTTTCTCTGGTAAATTTGTTAAAGTTTCTTATAGATGCTGGATACTAGACCTTTGTCAGATGCATAGTTTGCAAATATTTTTTTTCCATCGTGTAGGTTGTCTGTTTACTCTGTTGATAGTTTCTTTTGCTGTGCATAAGCCCTTAAGTTTAATTAGATCCCACTTGTCAATTTTTGCTTTTGTCGTGATTGCTTTTGGTGTCTATGTCATGAAATCTTTGCCCATTCCTATGTCTAGGATGGTATTGCCTTGGTTGTCTTCAAGGGATTTTATAATTTTGGGTTTTACATTTAAGTCTTTAATCCATCTTGAGTTGATTTCTGTATATGGTGTAAGGAAGGGGTCCAGTTTGTCTTCTGCATATGGCTAGCAAATTATCAAAGTGCCATTTATTGAATAAGAAAGTTTTCTTCCTATTCCTTATTTTTGTCTGCTTTGTTGAAGATCAGGTGGTCATAGATGCATAGCATTATTTCTGGGTGCTCCAAACTGTTCCATTGGTCTGTGTGCCTGTTTTTGTATGAATACAATGCTGTTTTGGTCACTGTAGCCTTGTAGTATAGTTTGAAGTTGGGTAACATGATGCCTCCAGCTTTGTTCTTTTTGCTTATGATTGCCTTGGCTATTTGGGCTCTTTTTTGGTTCCAGATAAATTTTAAAATAGGTTTTTCTAGTTCTATGAAGAATGCCATTGGTAGTCTGACAGGAATAGTATTGAATCTGTAAATTGCTTTGGGCAGTATGGCCATTTTAATGATATTGATTATTCCCATCCATGAGCATGGGATGTTTTTCAATTTGCTTACGTCTTCTCTGACTTCTTTGAGCAGTGTTTTGTAATTCTCATTGTAGAGATTTTCACCTCCCTGGTTAGCTCTATTCCTAGATGTTTTATTGATTTTATGACAATTGTGAATGGGATTGCCTTTCTGATTTGGCTCTCAGTTTGGCTGTTATTGGTGTATAGGAATGCTAGTGAGTTTTGTATATTGGTTTTGTATCCTGCAACTGTGCTGAAGTTGTTTATCAGCTGGAGCAGCTTTGGGGCTGAGACAATGGAGTTTTCTAGATACAAAATCATGTCACCTGCAAATGGAGATATATCAACTTCCTTTCTTCCTAGTGGGATGCCCTCTGTTTCTTTCTCTTGCCTGATTGCTCTGGCTAGGAGCTCCAATAATATGTTGAATAGAAAAGTTCAGAAAGGGCATCCTTATCTTGTTACCGTTTTCAAGAGAAATGCTTTCAGCCTTTGCCCATTCAGTATAATGTTGGCTGTGGGTTTCTCATAGATGGCTCTTATTATTTTAAGGTATGTTCCTTTAATACCTAGTTTATTGAGGGTTTTTAACATGAAGATGTGTTGAATTTTATCATAAACCAGTTCTGCATCTATTGAGATAATCATGTGGTTTTTGTCTTTAGTTCTGTTTATGTCATTAATCACATCTATTGATTTCAATATGTTGAACCAACCTTACATCCTGAGGATGAAGCCTACTTGATCTTGATAGTTTATCTTTTTGATGTGCTTCTGAATTCAATATGCAAGTGTTTTGTTCTGGATTTTTTCATCGATGTTCATGAAGGGCATTGGCCTGAAGTTTTCTTTTTTGTTGTGTCTCTTCCAGGCTTCAGTATCAAGATGATCATGGCCTCATAGAATGAGTTAGGGAGGAGTCCCTCCTCTTTAATTTTTTGGAATAGCTTCAGTAGGAATAATACCAGCTCTTCTTTATACATCTCGTAAAATTTAGCTATGAATCCAACAGATCCCAGGTTTGTTTTGGTTGGGAGGCTATTTATTATGGATTCAATTTCAGAGTGTGTTATTGGTCTGTTCAGAGAATCACTTTCTTCCTGGCTCAGTTTTGGAGGGTGTGTATGTCCAGGAATTTATCCATCTCTTGTAGGTTTTTTAATTTTATGTGTGTAGAGGTCTTCATAGTAGTTTCTGATGGTTGTTTTTATTTCTGTGGTGTCAGTAATAACATTCCCTTCATCATCTCTAATTGTGTTTATTTGTATCTCCTCTCTTTTTTCCTTATTAGTCTAGCTAGTGGCCTATGTATTTTATTAAATTTTTCAAAAAAACTTCCTGGATTTGTTTATCTTTTGAATTTTTGTTGTTGTTGTTGTTGTTTCTCAATTACCTTGAGTTCAGCTCTGATTTTTTTTATTTCTTCTCTTGTGCTAGCCTTGGGCTTGATTTGTTCCTGCTTCTCTAATTGTATCAGTTGTGAAGTTAGGTCGTTAATTTGAGATCTTTCTAACTTTTTTATGTTTACATTTAGTGGTATGAATTTTCCTCTTAATACCGCCTTAGCTTTGTCCCAGAGATTCTGGTGTGTTGTGTCTTTGTTCTCTTTATTTTCAAAGTACTTTTTGATTTCTGCCTTAATTTCATTATTTACCCAAAAGTCATTCAGGAGCATGTTGCTTAATTCCCATGTAATTGTATGGTTTTGAATCATTTTCATCGTCTTCACTTCTGTTTTTATTGTGCTGTGGTCCAAGAGTGTGTTTTGTATGATTTTGGTTCTTTAAAAATTTGTCGAGGATTGTTTTATGTCCAATTATGTGGCTGATTTTAAAGTATGTGTCATGTGGTGGTGAGAATGTATATTCTGTTGTTTTTGGCTGGAGAGTTATGTAAAGTTCTATCAGACCCAGTTGGTCCAAAGTTGAATTAAGGTCTTGAATATCTTTGTTCATTTTCTGCCTCAATGATTTGCCTAATACTTTCATTGGAGGGCTGAAGTCTCTTACTATTATTATGTGGGAGTCTATGTCTCTTTGTAGGTCTCCAAGAACTTGTTTTATGAATCTGGGTGCTTCTGGGTTGAGTGCATATATATTTAGGATAGTCAGGTCTTCTTGCTGAATTAAAGACTTTACCATTATGTAATGCCCCTTCTTAAAAATATTTCATTGGTTGGAAATCTGTTTTTTCTGAAATTAAGGTTGCAACTCCTGCTTTTTTTCTGTTTTCCATTTGCTTGGTAGATTTTTCTCCATCCCTTTATTTTTGAGCCTATGAATGTCATTAATTGTGAGATGGGTCTCTTGAAGACAGCATGCCTTTAGGTCTTGCCTTTTTATCCATCTTGCCACTATGTGCCTTTTAAGTGGGGCATTTAGCCCATTTACATTCAAGGTTAGTATTGATATTTGTGGATTTTATCCTGTCATTGTGCTATTAGCTTGCTATTATGTTGGCTTGTTTTCGTGGTTGCTTTAGGGTGACACTGGTCTGTGTGTTTAAGTGTGTTTTTATATTAGCTGGCAGTGGTCTTCCCTCGCTTTGCTTAGTGCTCCTTTCAAGATCTTTTGTAAGACAGGTCTGGTGGTAAGGAATTCATTCAACATTTGCTAATCTGAACAGGATCTTATTTCTCCTTCACTTAGGAAGCTACGTTTGGCTGGATATGAAATTCTTCGTTGAAGATTTTTTTCTTTAAGAATGTTGAATGTAGGCTTCCAATTCCTTCTGGCTTACAGGGTTTCAGCTAAGAGGTCCACTGTTAGCCTGATACGGTTACTTTTGTAGATGACCTGCCCTTTCTTTCTAGCTGCCTTTACCATTCTTACTTTCATTTTGACCTTGGAAAATCTGATGATTATGTGTCTTGGGGATGATCTTGTGTAGAATCTTGCAGCAGTTCTCTGTATTTCCTGAATTTGACGGTTGACCTCTCTAGCAAGTTTGGGGAAGTCTTCATGGATGACATTCTGAAATATGTTTTTCAAGTTACTCATACTGTCATACTCCTTGGATTCAAGCTTTGTTTTACTTCCTGCCACTTGGCTTTACCATCAAGTGAGCCATTGAGACAAAACTCTTCAATTTTTAGTCCTTTGCTTGTGCCTAGAATGGGATTATAGAGCTAGACAAAACGTTGAGTGAGGAAAGACATGAGCACATTTGTTAAAGATGCAGACAGTTAAAAAAGTAATCAAGGGAAGGTGGAGGAATCTGCAGAGCTCTACATAAATTCCTTCCTTAGTTTACATGAATTTATTTTATATGCCCAGCAGTATCTTATTCACCTGCATTCAAATGTGTGGAGGAAAAGTTAAATTGTTGGTCTTTTTTCCTCAGCAGGTGCATGCAAAAAATGCCAGTGAAAAGGATTAGAAAAGGTTCAGGCATCATTCTTAGATTTATTTCAGAATAGTCCTTTAATTTATATAGCTTGACATGTAAATCATCCAGGATGCAGTATAATGTTAGGTGTGCCATATTGCTTTATTTGCATACTATAAAGATAAAGTCTTCTATTTTTATCTGATTTTATTTTCTTCTGTAATTTGTATTTTTGTTTTAATTTAAAAGAAATTTATTTTACTCTTGGTTATATTTTTCCTACATAAGGAAACCTGATTTATTTAAACTCCACTAGTTCAGAATTTGTGAGAGTTCAGACAGTGTATATGCCAAAGTCTCTGGTATTAGTAAGAATATCTTATTTAGCAAATTAAATGTATGAACAATAAGTGTGTGTGTATGTGAATATGTGCACAAATGTAGTGTCGTTAAAATATTTTGGGGTTATTTAGGTACCTGAAATCACTTTAGTGAGATCTGTTATACAAGTAATCAACATATTAATTAATACTAATGCATCTTTATTCACTAAGGTAAGTCCCTTAGGATCTATTCTTGATAATATTGTCAGATATTCATTTAGATATTATATCTATGTAACTATCGACATATATACTATTGAAATAGATTTAGAGCTATATATGCATTCATTCTTTCATTTAACATTTATTTATTGAACATCTGCTCTGTACCAAGCAATATAAGAATACATTATAACACTAAAATAGCATTCATTTTGTGAGTTAGAGTTTTCCCAGATTCCACCTAGCCTTTCTCTAGATGTTCCAAAATGAAGTTAGACTGCTTGTTGCCTTTATATATTTGAACTACTGATATTCCCATCTTATGTATTTCTGTCTTTGTTTCCATCATACAATCAATAGCTTAATTCCCCAATAGCTCATTCTGATATAAGTATCCCATTTTCTAGTATTTTCTGTAAAACATTTAGGGATACACAGGGAGAAAAGGAGAGGGAATATTATATACATCCTTCTCTGTATCTCTGCAGAAGTGCTAATATCTCTGGATCACACTGATGGGATGGATTTGTTGTTTGTGCCTTTGAGTTTCCCAAAAGATGATGGCTTCCCTTTCCTCAGCTTATGAAGCATTTCTAATAGACAGATGTGAAATTTGGCCTGAGAAAGATTTAAACGGACAGCTTACAAGGAAGAAATAAAGTGCTTCAGATGAAAATTCTGTGGTGTTCATTCCTTAAAAGGTTCTTAAGCTGGTTTGTTTATTCTAGCTATATCATGGCAAAATTGTTTTTTAAGAATGTCAGATGCCATTCATGTCTTCAGGTAACTAAGCCCATGAAGATTCAATTCAGCAATAGTACCTACAGCACTCAACTCGGGATTAGCAAAACCAAAAGTAGAATTACATCTAGTGTTGACAGTGTGAATTCAATCTCATAATATAAGGCCAATTAACTTCATTGCATCATTGGTATCAGTATCCCTCTTTTCATGATGCATTTCAAATTTTCACTCACTTAGATTGGATGCTAAGAAGTGGTCATAAAGAGATGTCCTAGGACATTCTCAGTTTAAAAAAAATATCAAGCCCTCATTCTAGAAAACAAACTAACCATTCTGATAGTTTCCTTAAATCAAATAAATTTTTCCTTTTTTAGCAGTAAAAAATAGTTTAATTGACATAAAGACAATCACACAGGAGATGAAGTTATTACTCAAATCAATCTCTAAAGGCTTGTAGGTTAGGGTTTTTTTGGACAATTCTGTGGGCAGGGGACTGAAAAATGGGTGCTGCTGATTGGTTGAGGAATGAAATCATAGGGGTGTGGAAAACAGTTTTCATGTGCTGATCCTGTCTCTTGATGGGATCGCAGGATAAGTCGAATCCTAAGTCATGAATCTGGGTGGGGTCAGGCTGAAAAAAATCTCCAAAAACCAACCTTATATCTACTATAGTGATGTTATCTACAGGAGCAATTGGGGAAGTCACAAATCTTAAGACTTCAGGCCACATGTCTCCTGAGCAGTATTGGGTTAGAATAATACACCTATATTTTATCAGAACTCAGGCCCCTCCCGTAATCCCAATCTTGTTTCTTTACATTAATTTTACCTAGGCAGTTTTATCCCCAGAACAGGGAGTGGACTAGTTTGAAGGAGGAACTATTATCATCCTTGTTTCAAAGTTAAACTTTAAACTAAATTCCTCCAAAATTTACCTTGGCCTATGCCCAGGAATGACCAAGGACAGCTTGGAGGTTAGAAGCAAAATGGAGTCAACTATGTCAGATTTCTTTTACTGTCATAATTTTGCAAAGGCAGTTTCAATCTCCCTCTTTCAGTTTCAGCACACCTCTATCCTGAGTTGTGAGCTAAGGAGATGGGAAAAAGCTGATGACTGCTGTAACTACTTCCTGCTGACAGGGGGTGGAGTTGGAGTCAGGATTGCTCCTTGGATGAGAGGAGTGAAAGCAGTGAAGCTGTTTTACAGTGTCTAAAAACATACCTTTTCCTAGGACTACCTTTGGGTTTTTAAATGAGCAATATTGGAAAGTATGCTTCATATCATATAAACAGCATATGGTGTTTTTTATGTCATTGCATTTTCTTTAATTCTTGGGTGCTCACAAAGAAACATTGGCATAATAGGAGCCAGAGTTTGAATTACTAATATTTCTAACGTAGAGTTTAGACTAACATGCATTTGCAGATTCTCTACTAAAGAAAAAGCTTAAACACATCAGCTTAATAATTAGAACTACATTTATTATATTAGCTGAATCTCAGTTTCCCAAACACAAATTTTTGTTTTAAGATGTCTGTCAGTGCTCCTTATTCTATATGTAGTATATTTATTTTAACTTAAAAATGTCTCCCCCCAATTTTTTAGGCTCCTGCCAATAATATTTGTCCTGCATGGCTGGGTCATAAGGCAGAAGATATTGCTTATTTCTGGAGGTGGAGGGGAGAAATTTAAGCAAACCTATAGGATGTTGGTGATGGTGATGGTGATGATGATAGTAATGATGATGATGACATATGATAATAATCTATATAGTGCTTTACCAAACATCCTCACATCTTTAATGTCTGTATATGTATATGCATGTAGCTCTATGTTATAAAGAACTATTTTCAATTGTTTCTCATTTGATCCTCTCAGCAATCTGGTGAGGTAAGCATTTTTAGCGTTTCTGATTAGGAAATGAAGAAAATGAGTTTTTAAGAAGCTCAGTGACTTACTCTAAATCTCAGAGACAATAAAGATTTGAGCCAGAATTTATAAGGCCAGGCTTTTTATTTATCATAAACAACATACTTTCCCAAATATGCTGAACTATCTCTGAAAAAAACAAACAAAAAAACCCTGGGTATTAAAAATTGAGGTTATGAATCTTCAGGCTCGTATTGGAACCGCTTAAGTTAAATGTAGGAGATCAGATGTTTGGTGTTTCAGAAATAGGAAATCCTTGGAATAATCCATCTATTTATCTGTCGTTGATCATATAACTTCAATAAAATAAAACACTTTAATTTTCTTTTTTGCTCCTTCTTATAGTAGTTTACATGTGGGGCAGCTAGTATAAAAATGGTTGATGATTATTGTTATTATTTGTTGTGGCTATAATTTTTCCTTCTAAGAAGTATGCAAAATCTTCTGAATGACTGCAACCTACTTTTTGTATAGAGAAAGGTAACAGTTATAAATTGTTCCTTGTGACAATTCCTGAGTGAATTACTTTGATATATATGGCTAATGAATTAATATGATTAAGTTAATGAGAAATGCAAGTGTTGCCAAACTCCACTACTCTGGCAGTAATGTTGCTCCACATTTGCAGTTTTAGCTTCCCCCTGTGTTGAGAGGATCACTGATGCCTACACACTGTCGTTGTGATAAATGATGTATCCCACAGTGCCCTGCTTTCCATCTGGTCCATCCTCAAACCATCCCCAAATGAGAGATCTCTTACAAAAATTACATAGTCACAAGCCAAGTCTATTGGATTATAAAAAGACATTTCCATCCCTAGGGCCCATCCTTCAACCACATTTTCCCCATAATTCACAAATTACATGAAATAAAATACACAAGTTTTCACCTACTACTTGTGTTACTCTTTCATTGTCTGCTCTTTATTCTGGCGAGCTTTTGTTTTCCAGGGCAGAAAGGGAACATTTACATAGCACAATAAAGCTTTCCATTGTATAATATGCCTGACAAATGATAAGCTGCCTTGTTACTACTTTATTTTATTGGATGGAGTGGATGGCTGTACTAAAATAACCCATTATACTAAAGCATGTAGTTTGTCAAAATATATTCTGTATCCTTCTTAAAAAAAAATACATTTTATCAATCATCCAAGGGATTCTGCAGAGCAAAATAGAGTGTCTATCATTTCCTATTGAAGAATTAAAGAGTAATAAAATTTGTCATATACAAGTATCACCTACATATTGTGACCAAAAATGAGTAACAAAATGTATCCTTGGCACCTAGAACTCACCTTTTAAAAATTGATAGACAATAAGGTATTCTGCCATTTTAATCAACCAAAGGTTGGAGAACAGGAATTGAGTACTTTGATTGTAGTGGTGAAAATGTTTTCTTGTGACTTGTTTGCTCCCTTTCTGGCAATGTCTAAAATCTAGATCATGTTTTGAACTAATTTTCAGTTTATGTTCAATGTAGGAAAAATTCTGAGAGCTCTCAAAATGGTAGTTCTTAGTAACACATTCATACACATACCTGAGTCAAGGTAGAGAATGCCCAAACGTAGAGCTTAAAAATGTTATTAATACCTGTCTTTGTTTTCCCAGAGGGCTCTTATTTAACTCTTTTAATGTATACCTGAAAGTGTCAGGTGAGAATGCTTTTTGAAACACTGTGTTAGATCAAACTGGGTTAGCAAATCGTGCTTTCTACATGATTAGTAGAAATGAAAATTAGAATTCCCAGACTAAATTACAACATAAAAAGGGGCAGTTATACTCTGACTTAATTTATTTTTTTTTCTGAATTCTCAGCAGTAATGACATTTCCTTTCTCAGTAGTGTTACTTGCATAATCAAGGGACCAACAGAGAAGAACTATAGTAATATAGAAAACCCTTTCTCCCTTAAACCTTATTTGACAATATATGAAGTCACACAAACACCTGTAAAAAGAGTAACTGAAGTGGGTCATAGTAGATAGCAATGAATATTAAATTGAGGTGAGGGTAAGAAAGGAGGGCGATTTTCTCATATAGCACCAATATTGGGTGAAAATTTAATAATCAGTTGATAGATGTCTGCCTATCTATAGTTATTTGAGAAGACTAAGGTCCTTGTTAACAACTACATTCTTTAAAAAAGGTTTTACTGAGGTATAATTGACATGAAATAAATTGTACATAGAAAGTACAATTTGAGAATTTTGGACTGTTGCTCACCTATGAAACCATCACCACAGTCAAGATAGTGAGCATACTCATTTTCTCAACCTTTCTATTACTACACCCTTTCTTCCCTGTCTGTCTCCCAGGTAACCACTGATCTGTATTCTGTCAATATATATTAGTTTGTATTTTCTAGCATTTTATATAAAGAGATTATGTAGAGAATGCACTATTTTTTGTCTGACTTCTTTCCTTTAGCATAATTTTATTGAGATTCCAAATTGTTGTGTATAACAATAGTTCATTCATTTTTATTGCTTAGCAGCAAGTATTTTATGGTATGAATATAACATAATTTGTTTATATATTTCACTCTTTCAGACATTGGAGTTCTTTTACCAGTTTTTAGCTATTGTGATTGACACTGCTTTAAGGCTTTATGTATACATTTTGTGTGGAAATGTTTTCATTTACCTTGATTAAAACTAGAAATGGAATTGCTGGGTTGTATGGTGAGTGTATGTCTATGTTTATAGGAAACTTTAAAACTGTCTTCCCAAGTCGTGTCATTTTGCATTCCTGTCAGCTATGTATGGTTGTTCATATCATTGCCAACACTTACTGTGTCCAGTCTTAGAAATATATTTTCAACAATATATCCCACCTGAATTCAAACATTTTGCCAACATACTGTCTCCTGTCTAGAAGCGGATTTTTGCATTAAAGTAAGTCATACTTTGTTTGATCATGACTCAGTATAAATTAGTATCTATTTCTGCTTAAATACAGGTTTATAGTCTAGGAGTAATGGAAACTGAGGAACAGAGTGAAGGGCATATTATCTGGGGATGATCAGTGGTTTGGCTCTCTACAGCGTCATGGACCTTGATGTTGTGAAAAGGAACTAAAAGAGCAAGAGAGAGGAGCATAGAGAAAGTGGAAAGGTGACCCAAACAAATTCTTCCTACTTCTCAGTTTTGCTTAGGGTCAGTCTAGTATATAAAACAAATATTTGCAAACTAAAAGTTGGAATCATACTATTTATGACTTTGTTATAGTCACACAGTTGGCTTTTTGATCTGGATCACATTTAAAGCTGAAAAAGATATCCTTTGGAAGGAAAAAGCAACTTCCTGCAAGGCTAAAGGAGAAAAATTATTTTCCTTGTATTTGTGGCAAGGGCATTGTGAAAAAAAAGCATACTTTTTGGACTTAGGGTACTCTGGCCACAAGAGATAAAAGACCCATGTTTAGTTTCAAAGGAAAAACTCTTAAGATATTACACCTCATTGTAAACGTGTGAATTGAATTCTAAGCTTAATTAAAGTAATTAGGTAAATGGATAAATAAATGGGAAGAGATATTACCCTTAAACTGTCTGAAATGTATGGCATTTTGTCACAGTATTAAAGTGAAATTGAAGTTTGAGGTCAAACAGTGTCTGGTATGCATTTTAATGAAAAATATATGATTTAGAGAAGTAAATCTTTTTATTTTCACAGTGTAACCACTATGCTTCATACTTTTTAAAAATTGGGACCCAGGCTAATATTTGGTTTCTGTAGATAATTTTTTGAATTTTTAAAATATATTATACTTGTACATATTTATGAAGTACATGTGAAATGCTATTACATGTGTAGAATGTGTAATGACCAAGTCAGGGTATTCAAGATATCCATCACCTGAGTATTTATCATTTCTATGTGTTGGGTACATTTCAGATCCTGTCTTGTAGCTATTTTGAAAAATGCAATACATTGGTGTTAACTGTAGTCACATAGTCACCCTATTCTGCTATTGAACATTAGAGCTTATTCCTTCTTTCTTTGTTTTTAGAGAAAATGTCTTGCTCTGTCACATAGGCTGCAGTGCAGTGGCATGATCATAGCTCACTGCAACCTCAAATGTCTGGGCTCAAGTGATCTTCTCACTTTGCCTCTGCAGTAGCTAGGACTATAGGCACACACCACTATACTTGGATAAATTTTTAAATTTTTTGTAAAGACTGGGTCTCAGTGTGCTGTTCACACTGGCCTTGAACTCCTGGCCTAAAGTGATCCTCCTGCCTCAGCCTCCCAAAGTGCTGGGATTATAGGTGTGAGCCACTGCACCTGGCCTTAGAACTTATTCTTTCTATCAAACTGTATGATTCTACCTGTTAACCAACCTCTCTTCACCCCCTCCTGTATTCATACCCCATTCCCAGTCTTTGGTATTTATCATTACACTCTACCCCCATGTGATCAACATTTTTTTTTTTTTTTGAGATGGAGTCTCGCTCGTCGCCCAGGCTGGAGTGCAGTGGCACAATCTTGGCTTACTGCAAGCTCTGCCTTCCAGGTTCACGCCATTCTCCTGCCTCAGCCTCCTGAGTAGCTGGGACTACAGGCACCCGCCTCCACACCCAGCTAATTTTTTGTATTTTTAGTAGAGACAGGGTTTCACCGTGTTAGCCAGGATGGTCTCAATCTCCTGACCTCGTGATCCACCTGCCCCGGCCTCCCAAAGTGCTGGGATTACAGGTGTGAGCCACCACTCCCAGCTGTGATCAACTTTTTTAGCTCCCTCATATGAGTGAGAACATGTGATGTTTGCCTTTCTGTGCATAAATAAGCTATGGCTTATATCCCTTAACGTAATGACCTCCATTTCCATCCATGTTGCTGCAAATGACATTACTTCATTTTTCTGTATGGTCAAATAGTATTCCATTGTACATACACACACACACACACACACACACACACACGCACACACACACACACACACACACACACAATCACATTTTCTTTATCCATTCATCTATTGAGATTTTTTAGGACCAGAATATCTATTGACTTTTTTGTGAAAGATAACTAAAGTGAACAAGGGCATAGAGAAGCTTGCATATAAAGCATATTAGCCCATTCAAGGCATGCACTGAGTGATTAAAGTGATTAAAATTTATTTACTAATTTAAAAAAACATGAAATAATATCTCAAAGATCATAGAAGGAAATAGGAGTAATACTTGAAAATTTTATAGGCTGAAAGGGAGAGGGAAATATAGATTTTCTGGTTTAAAAGTTTGTCCCAATCATAGTTTATATGGTTTGGCTCTGTGTCCTCATGCAAATCTCATCTCAAACTGTAATCTTCATGTGTCGGAGGAGGAACCTGGTAGGAGATGATTGGATCATGGAATAGATTTCTCCTTCGATGTTCTCATGATAGAGTGAGTTTTCATGAGATCTGATGGTTTTAAAGCATGGTACTTCCTTTCTCTCTCTCTTTCTCTCTCTTTCTCTCCTGCCATGTAAGATGTGCCTTGCTTCTCCTTTGCCTTCTGCCATGATGGTAAGTTTCCTGAAGTCTCTCCATCCATGTGGAACTGTGAGTCAATTAAACCTCTTTTCTTTATAAATTACTCAGTCTTAGGAAGTTCTTTATAGCAGTGTGAAAATGGACTAATACAGAAAACTGGTACTGAATGAAGTGGAGGTTTGCTATAAAGATACCTGAAAATGTGGAAACAACTTTGGAACTGGATAAGGGGAAGAGGCTGGAAGAATTTGGAGGGCTCAGAAGAAGACAGGAAGATGAGGTAAAATCTGGGGCTTCCTAGAGACTTGTTGAATGGTTGTGACCAAATTGCTGATAGTGATAAGGACAATGAAGTCCAGGCTGAGGTGGTCTCAGATGGAGATGAGAAACTTCTTGGGAACTGGAGTAAAGGTCACTCTTGCTATGCTTTAGCTAAGAGACTGAAAGCATTGTGCCCCTGTCCTAGAAAGTTGTGGACCTTTGAACTTAAAAGAGATTATTTAGGGTATCTGGTGTAAGAAATTTCTAAGCAGCAAAGCATTCAAGATGTGACATGACTTTTTCTAAAAGTGTATGCTCATATGCATGAAGAAAGAGATGGTCTGAAATTGGAATTTGTGATTAAAAGCGAAGTAGAGCATAAAAATTTGTAAAATTTGCAGCCTGACCATGAGGTAGAAAAGAAACACCCATTTTCTGTGGAGAAATTCAAATCGGCTACAGAAATTTGCATGAGTAACAAGGAGCCCAATGTTAATAGCCAAGACAATGGAGAAAATATCTCCAGGGCATTTCAGAGATCTTTGCCCCAGCCCCTCCCATCACAGACCTGGAGGCATAGGAGGGAAAAATGGTTCTGTGGGGTGGGCCTAAGGTCCTGCTGCTGCTCTGTGCAGCCTCAGGATTTGGTGCCCTGTGTCCATGCCACTCCAGTTCCAGCCATGGCTAAAAGGAACCAAGGCACTGCTTGGGCTGTTCCTTCAGAGAGTGCAAGCCCCAAGCATTGGCAGCTTCCACATGGTGTTGGGTCTACAGATGTGCAGAAGGCAAGAGTTAAGGTTTCAGAACTTCTGCCTAGATTTCAGAGGATGTATGGAAATGCCTGGATGTCCAGGCAGAAGTCTGCTACAGGGCAGAGCCCTCATGAAGAATCTCTACTAGGGCAATGCAGAGGGAAAATGTGGAATTGGGACCCCCACACAGCATCCCCACTGGGACACTGCCTAGTGGAGCTGAGAGAAGAGGGCCACCATCCTCCAGAACCTGGAATAGGAGCTCCACCAACAGCTTGCACCATGAACCTGGAAAAGCCGCAGGCACTCAATGCCAGCCCTTGAAAGCAACTGCTCAGGCTGTACCCTGCTGAGCCACTGGTAGAGCTGCCCAAGTTCTTGGGAGTCCACCCCTTGCATCAGCATACCCTGGATGTGAGACATGGAGTCAAAGGAGAATATTTTAGAGCTTTAGGATTTAATGACTGCTCAGCTGGGTTTTGGACTTGCATGGGGCCTGTGGCCCCTTTGTTTCAGGCAATTTCTCCAATTTGGAGTGGGAACATTCAAGCCATGCCTGTTCCCCCATTGTATCTTGGAAGTAACTATATTGTTTTGATTTTACAGGCTTATAGGTGAAAGGGACTTGCCTTGTCTGAGATGAGACTTTGGACTTGGACTTTAGAGTTAATGCTGGAATGAGTTAAGATTTTGGGGTACTGTTGGGAAGGCATGATTGGTTTTCAGTGTGAAAAGGGCATGAGATTTGAGAAGGGCCAGGGGTATAATGATGTAGTTTGTCTCTGTGTCTCCAGCAAAGTGTCATCTTGAATTGCAATCCCTATGTGTCAGAGAAGGGGCCTGGTGGGAGATGATTGGATCATGGGTACACATTTTGTCCTTGCTGTTCTTGTGGTAGCATGTGAGTTTTCACAGGAGCTGATGGTTTTGAAGTATAGCTCTCTCTCTCTCTCTCTCTCTCTTTCTCTCTATTTTGCTACCATGTAATATGTGCCTTGCTTCTCCTTCATCTTCTGCCATGATTGTGTTTCCTGAGGCCTCCTCAGCCATACAGAGCTGTGATTCAATTAAACCCCTTTTCTTTAAAATTACCCAGTCTCAAGTAGTTCTTTATAGCAGTATGAAAATGAACTAATAGTCTAGTTCAAGTTCTGTTAGAGATACTTATTGAGATAATAAATTTATAGAGAGTGATTTATATAACCTTAGGTTTATTCATAATAAGCTCATTCCTTTCTGAAGGTGACATCTGTTGAAGTTTATGATCTCAATTTCCCAAATATCCTTCTTGAGTATCCTATTTGAGATAGAACCATACATTGTTCATTTCTAAAACAATGTTTTAGAAATGCATAACATTGTTTAAAAGAAATAAGTAAAATAAAGTTCTCTGTTTCTGTTTCTTTGGAATTTATAACAAAAACCATAATTTGCTTACCTTTTAGTTTTGTTCATTTGACTAGCAATGGACAATTTTTTAATAACTTACATTGTTTTATTTATTTATTTATTTTTTAATTTTTAAACACAGAGTCTCACTCTGTTGCCCAGGCTGCAGGGCAGTGGCATAGTCATAGCTCACTGCAGCCTTGAACTCCTAGACTCAAGTGACTCTCCTGCCTCAGCCTCCAAATTAGCTAGCACTATGGGAATGTGACATCATGCATGGCTAAATTTTTTGTGTTGGTTTTTAGAGGTTTAGTCTCACTGTGTTGCCAAGGCTGGTCTCTGACTCCCCAAATTATTTTACATTTATTTTTATTAATTATCTGTCCCTTGCTTGAAACTCTTCTATGCCCTTTCATTGAAAGTAAAGTTAAAATTCCTTCACATAGAAAAAGTGTTTTTCTGATCTTCTTTATTGTAACTTTCTATCATCATCTCTGATAACTTCTTTAAATACAGTGTACTCTGTAACCTAAATAAACTTCTCTCTGTTCTTCATATATCTCTTACTCTTTCACACTTCCATGGCTTTTTGCATGCTCTTCACTCTGTTTTGTATGATTTATGAAGGTAAGCAAAAGCTTATTATCAAATCGTATTATTTTTTGACATAAGTACTTCTGAGTTAGTATAGCAGAGCATTAATTACATACAATCATTTTTATTCTCTTTAAAGTAAAAGTAAAATATTGAATAGTGAGACCATTTTCCCCAATTTATTAGGAGTACCAAGTTCTTTCTACAAAATAAGTTGACCAATGATTATCAACCACCAGCTCCATTTTCTACTCTTACAAATTCTTTGGTGCCATTACTTCTATGCCATTTTTTTTTTAATTCCAGAATGGTAGGATCAAGGAGGCCAGATAAAGCCAGTGATATCTCATGTGATATTTGTGGCTTGTCAAATGTATGCAAAAACAAGAATTTCTATGAAGACATCTCCTTTAATTTGTGTATCTGAAAAAGGGCACTGCTAACCTTCTTAGACTCCTAAGAGTTTCTGCACATACTCTGCTACTCAGAAAATTGGACTGATAACTTAAGGCTGCTAAAAGTGCTCTGGAATATTTATTAATTTACTAGCAAATTCCCTATAGCCTGATTGCTTCCTATTTGAATTTGTTAATTTGAAACCTTGGTCACTTGTCTTTGCAGTATTCCATGACGAAGTTAGGGAGAGCAGCTATAAGGCAAATCAAAACAAAAGATGGTGGGAGGTAAAGTGCCCCAAGTTGAAGCTTTATCATAGTATGGCAACAGTTTTGTGGAGTTATAGGAAGGGAAGGAAGAAGTTAATTGGCCATTTGTATTTGTCTAGACAGAATGAAAGTAGGTTGTATGAACTATTTCTGTTCACAGAATAGAAAGCTGAAAAATTATTTTTGAATTGTATCATGTATGTTGGATGACAAGATGACACACAAATAGGGAATAAATTAGCAAATTATTTGAAAGTCATTATATATTTTCTTCCCTTAATATCTGCAATATCACTTAAATAAAAATAAAAACCTCAGTGAACAGAAAACTCAAGAGTTTGAAATTTAGCTCTGCTGGTCAGACCGTATTTGGCTTGAGCTAAATCATGCATTAGACTCCACTTGGCTTTCTTTCTAGACTCAGAAATACCCTTCTCCCTTTCTATTGCTGAATGACCTAGTATTCTCTTTCATTTAGCCCTATAACTTTACTAAAGTGCTTTCTCTTTTTTAATTGTTTATTTTCCTTTATGGATTTCATGGTTGTATGCTTTTGGTTTTATTATTGTATGTCTTTTTACTTTAGGATTGTATACTCTCTCAGTTTTCTCCTATGTCCCATTTGCTGTTCACTTCAATTTATGCCTTTTAAGTGGACTTTCAAGGAATTTAATAATCACATGATAGATTAAATTAAATTTATATTTTTTCAAAATAGTCTTTAAATTTTAATTTATCTTATCAAATTTGCATTGATCATCAACTAAATTTGAAACAAAGTTATCTAGTTATCTGCTCACAATGAACAAATTTATAATTTTTATATCATGCACATTATTTTAGAATAAGCAAGGAGATAGGACAGCCAATATATTGATGTTTCTTGATTAAAAGTTATGAATAGCTCTATTTGAAAAGCATTGTTTAATTTTATGTTTTTTTAGGCAGATGGGGTAGAAGTCATAATTTCATTTTTGCAATGTCTCCTTCATTCAACTCATCCATTTAGTATTTACTCACCGTCTGTTACATGCCTGAAAATGAGAATTCAAAATTGTATATGATATGATCCTTGCCTTCAAAGAACTGGTCCTCCAGATTGAGAGAATGTCTTAGTATGTTTTGTGCTGCTGTAACAGAATATGTGAGACCGGGTAATATATAATTATAAACCAAAAGTAATATTCTAAGCCCCCCAGCCAATTGAATAGACTCCTCTCTTGGCCATGGGTATCCCAAGGAAATCTGAAAAACTATTTCAGGCCATGATGGGAAGCAGGGGTCAGGATGTGCCTCATTATACTTTCTTCCCTTTGCAGTTTAGACACATTGAACCCACATTAACATTAAAACAGAGATCTTAAGACTGACAAAACACACTGTAGCAATAAGATACCAACTCCAACCTGACTCTGGTATAGCATCACATTGTAACACCAAAGGTTCTTGCCTTAGCCACGCCAAAGTATTGGTGTGGTGGCAGCCTGTGGCAAGAGAGAGACACGGATCTGACAGAGAGAAAAAAAAACGGTAGGCTTTATTGAGCAGAGTGACAGTACAAAGCTTCCACAGCCTGGAAGGGGTCCCGAGCAGGTAGCCAGTGTTAGATTTTTCGATCACCTTTTCAACTCTTTAAGGCGGGAAATACGTGCAGTGGGAAGATGTTACCAGAGCGAGAAACAGAGACAATTAACATGTCTCAGATCTTGAGGAAAACCGGAATTGCAACTTAAGTTTTATCTACCTTATGACCTTGCAGCGGCACGGCAAAGGAGACAGGATCTCACAGGATTTTATAAATTGTGTTACAAGGAACTGGAATTGGGAGCATAGATAAGGTCTGCTGGTCACAGAAAAATGGGCTTTTAACCTTCCTTTTAGTTTCAGGGGAAGGGGAAGGGAGAGAGGGAGAGAAGACACAGGGAAGCTTACAGCAAAATTTTTGCTGTTTATAGCTTTCTTTGGGAAGAAAACACATGCACAAATTCTGATGTTAGGAATATTTTAAGCATATATCTTCAATATTATTCATCCAGGACCAAAGTAAGTCCTGATGGAGGAAATGAGTGAGTTTCACAGCTTTCTGAGCCCCTACTCGACCCAGGAAGCCCAGCTGGCACCTCCTCTCAACATGATGTAACATTTCCTGAAGGAAATCAAAGTATTTTATCTCAAAATATATTTCTTTGGCATATTTTGAAATGGCCCTGCAAAGCTGTCTCTTATGGGGGAAATTTGCTCTCTGTAGAGAATCTCCTTCCATTACTATGTCTTTTCAAGAGAGTCTGACAAGAGGACATCCACCATCTATTTTCTCTGGAGCCTGATATCTGGAGCCTTCATCTACATGATAAAAACCTTGGCTTCTACAACCCCCTTTATCTTGAATCAAGCTGAGTTCAACTCTTCAGGTGGTGCTCAACTCTTTCAATGAATTGTCAATCAGGAAATCTTTGAATCCACCAATGACCTGGAATTCCCCCACTTCAAGATGTCCCACCTTTCAGAGCCAAACCAATGTATACCTTATATGTATTAATTTATGTCTTTCCTGTAACATCTGTCTCCTCAAAATGTATAAAACGATGCTGTAACCCAACCACCTTGGGTGCATGTTCTCAGGACCACCTGAGGCTGTGACAGAGGCCATTGTCCTTAATCTTGGCAAAAGAAACCTCTAAACAAATTTAGACTTGTCTCAGATACCTTTTGGTTTATATAATGAACAGAAATATATTGGCTCACAGTTCTAGGGTCTTGTGGATGGCCTCACTCCCACAGTTCTGCTGGGCATTGTTTTAGTGGAAGCTCTCTGTGGTGGCTCCACCACCATGACAAGTCTTTGCCTGAGTTCCCAAGATATTGGAGACATCCTTTGAAATCTGGGTGGAGAAAGCTATGCCCCACATTCCTTGCATTCTGTGTAATTGCAGAATTGGCACCATATGTAGGCTGCCAATGTTTCTAGCTTGTACTATCCAGTGTGTCAAATCAAGCCACCCTTGGACCCACATGAGCTATGGCTGCGTGGCTTAAGAGTGTTGCATTAGAATGTGTTTAGCAAAGACTTGAGGTGACCCTAAGCAGGGATTCCCAAAGTCCCAAGCATGCCCCAGGACTCTTTTGACATATTTCCTTCCTCCAGGTCTTCTTCCTCTGGCCTGTGATGGGAAGGGCAGCACCAGTAATTTCTAAAGTGCGTTTGGGGTCATTCTCCCATTGTACTGATGAATAACCTCTGGCTTTGTTCTATTTATACTAATATTTGCAAACATTTTCTGGGCCACACCCTTGTTTTCCTCCCCTGAAAATGCTTTCATTCTCTAACACAGGGCCAGACTAAAAATCCTTCTAATCAATAAATTCTGTTTCCTTTTAATTATAAATTCCATCTTTAAATCCTTTTTTCCTTCTCAAATTTTACTATAATCAGTTAAAAGAAGCCACACAGCAACCTGAATTCTTTGCTTTTTAGTTATTTTTTTTCACCAGATATTCTAGTTCATTGCTCTTAAATTTACCTTCCACAAAGCCCTTTGGCATGGATACAATTTGGCCACATTCTTTGCCACTTACAACAATGTTGGTCTGTCAGGCCTCTGAGCCCAAGCCTGCAGGTATACATCCAGATGGCCTGAAACAACTGAAGAATCACAAAAGAAGTGAAAATGGCCGGTTCCTGCCTTAACTGATGACATTACCTTGTGAAATTCCTTCTCCTGGCTCAGAAGCTCCCCTACTGAGCACCTTGTGAACCCCGCCCCTGCCCACCAGAGAACAACCCCCTTTGATTGTAATTTTCCACTACCTACCCAAATCCTATAAAATGGCCCTACCCCTATCTCCCTTTGCTGACTCTCTTTTTGGACTCAGCCCACCTGCACCCAGGTGATTAAAAAGCTTTATTGCTCACACAAAGCCTGTTTGGTGGTCTCTTCACACGGATGCACGTGACATGGTCTTTACTCTATTTTCTAATATATTGTTCCTCATTTCCTTCTGAGACCTCATCAGAATGTTCTTTACTATCCATACTTCTCTCAGCATCCTGATAATCACCACTTAAATAATCTCTAAAAGATTCAGAATTTTCTACAATTCTTTTCTTTTGAGCCCTCACCAAAATTTTCCTTAGCACTCTATTTATGGCAATCTAGGCTTTTTCTTCCCTTCACCTCCAAATTATTCCAGCCTCTACTAATTACCCAGTTCCAAATCTTCTTTTACATTTTCAGGTACTTGTTATTAACAATAGCCCCACTTCTCAGCAATAATTTTCTATCTTAGTTCGTTTTTACTTGTATATCAGAATATCACAGACTTGGTAATTTATGATGAGCAGAAATTTATTAGCTCACAGTTCTGGAAGCTTGGAAGTCCAAGATCAAGGGGATGGCAACTGTGAAGGCCTTCTTGCAGAGTCAGCAGGTGGCAAAAGGCAAGATAGCAAGAGAGGACAAGAGAGCAAACTTTTAGCCTCAAGTTCTTTTTATAATCAGTATTTTTCAATTCATGTGGGTGGAGCTTTCATGACCCAAACACCTCCCCTTAGGCCTCACTTCTGAACACTGTTGCTTTGGGGATTACATGTTGATCACATGCTTTTTGGGAGACATATTCAAACTGTTGCAGAGAGTGTCCCAATAAGTAAAGAGTTATGAGATAATTTTATTTAAGTATCTCTGTATGTGAAGGAGAGGACTCCATGAGAAAGTTTGAAAGCTTCAAACCAAAGAAATAATCATGAGTTAGAAATAGCTATAGGTGTAGGGAGCCAAATGTGTTTACCATAGAAAGATGTGGCACACATCTCTGAGAGTATAATGAGTGCAAAATGGAGAGGCTGATGAGATACTAATATTGTTTGGCTCTGTGTCCCCACCCAAATCTCATCTCGAATTGTAATCCTTACGTTTTCAGGGAGGGACCCGGCTGGAGATGATTAGATCATGGGAGTGGTTTCCCCCTTGCTCTTCTTGTAATAGTGAATGAGTTCTCATGGGATCTGATGGTTTTAAAGTGCTTGGCGGTTTCCCCTTCACTCCCTCTCTCCTGCCACCTTGTGAATACGTGCCTTGGTTCCCCTTCACTTTCTGCCATGATTGTAAGTTTCCTGAGGTCTCCTCATCCATGTGGAATTGTGAGTCAATTAAACCTCTTTTCTTTTTAAATTATCCAATCTCATGTAGTATCTTTATAGCAGTGTAAAAATAGACTAATACAGACACCTTCCAGAAGAAATTTGTAGGTCTTAATTGCAGATGTGTTTTATTATGAGGACAGGTCCAAAAAGAACATCATAGGGTATTACCTTCCCATTTTCATTTCATATTAATTTAAGCTGTTTATTTTGTTGTTGCTCATGATACTTTCTCTTTGAAGTGTGCATAGGACTTTTGAGATCTTAAAAATTTGGTGATAAAAAACTGCTCTATTGAGAAATGAGTGAACACATTTAAATATGGGGCACAAAATGAATGCTATACAACAAGCTATATGGCTCTGAGCACATTACTTTCTCCTTTCTGTGACTGAATTTTTTCATCTGTATAATGAAGATAATAAGTGTCAGCCTCATACATTTGTTATAAAACTTAAATGAGATTATGAATGTAAACAACTTAGCATAGTGTCTGGCATAGTAAGTATTCAATAATGGTCCACTATTACTATTATTATTAGGAAAATCTGACTTAAAATTATGTAGTCATGGCATGAAGATTCTATATTACAATTGATCCATTCGAAAGGGGGTCTCTCTACAACTTGACTTAGGAGGTTTAAAAATCAGTGTGAATAATTAATTAAAAGTGTGAATGATTGCAAAATTATGGTTACAAAGCAGCTTATTTTTCTCAAACTAAAAAATTCAAAATAATGTTATGTTTAGCTATGATAAACTCAATACATCTTTAAGCATCTATGTTTGAATGTAATATTATTTGATTTTTCTATGAGCATTATAGAGAATGCGTTGGATTCATCATTCTTCTGCTACTGAGTGGTTTCTGTCTGCTGATTTTCAGATAGCACTTAATAACTCCCAATTAACCTTTTTATGTATTTGAGGAAAATCAGGAGCAGGCAGCCATGTGGATATTCTTTAGTCTGCAGTGGGAATACTATGTGAAATGAAATACCAGGAATATCACAAACACAGAAACAAGATGTTAAATGTGAATCTGAAGACAGGCACTACAACCATCATGCCAAAAAAAATATGCATCACATCTCACATTCAGATCCATCTTTTCAACCACATTTGTGTACAAAGGAAAGTAGCCCAATCAGCAGATATATTGTCAAATATGAAGAAAGACAACATATGTTTTGATCTCTTCTGTTGGTACATTCACTAGAGTTATATTGTCTGGTGAATATCCAAATTGTGACTATTGATCGGGACATTTAGTTGCTGAACTTACAGCTGTTCTTCAGTTGGAGCACAGGAAGAGTTATTTATTTATTTGTTTGTTTTTTTGTAGAGTGCAGCTGGTACACTAGTGTCAAAATTACAAACTTCAAATTAGATAAATATTTGCTTTATGTTGTAATTTTTAGTGCTATGATTGCCATAATTTGTTGCTACTCAGACAGGCTGTGAAAAAGATGTGAGTCTTCACTACATAAAAAATATAATAAATTAACATAAACTACCATGTTAGAGAAGTAATAGCCCATATGTTTATGAATGCTAATGGTATACTTGGTTGGCATTCAGAAATGTTGTAATTAAACAAAGTTTCCATCTAATAATGAATATCATCTCTCACTTTATAGTTCTTATGAGCTGAGGGACAGAAATATTCATTACCAAATGCTTACCTGTGAAAAACCTACCTGTTACAAAAATGTGGGTTCTAATATAATGATTATGGTGTTATGTTAAACATATAAATCAGAAACACATTCGTGTGCAAAGCAGATTTCCTTTCTTGCTTTGAAATCAATGTTACACTGAAGACATATCAGGTTCTCATTTCTATTCTATTGAATTTGTAAGATACAGGAGAATATAGTATTGTTACTCAATGGTTTCAGAATATATGCTCCTTAGCACACAGTTTTGGCCTCTGTGATAAATGCTTCTTTACATCTCCAGAAAATAATAATTGCTTTCACCTTAATTCCAATTTATAGGCTCATTGTGGTCCATGTCTGTATTTTATTTTCTCTCACCCCTTCCCCCCTTGTCTAGCACGGTATATTTCCTTTAATAGACACTGAATATGCTTTTGTTAACCTGGAATATATACATATTTATACAAATATAAGTTATTATAGAGGGCAGACTCAAAAAAAGGTAAAACTTGATTCCTATTAAATCATTTTTCTTTATGAAAAGATAACCCAGGTCTCATTGGGTTAACACCTTAGTTTGATAAATGGAAGAAAAACATATCTGATTTTAGTGTAAGAATTATATAAAAAATTAGGGCAAACAAGTCAATAATATTTAATTCATTTGAGATTATATTTAGGAGGAAAAAAGTAGATAACATTTACTAAACACACTATATGCTCAATAGTATACATTATCTTATTTGATCTTAACAACAACTATATGAGATAGGTACTCTTATTACTCTGATTTTGTAAATGAAGAAATCATGTCACAGGGGTGTTTGTGTGTGTGCATGAGGAGGAAGGTATCTGCCATAAATGTTTTTCACGAGATTTCATCCAAGGAGTTCTAACTCCAGAGCTTGTACTCTTAACCCCTGAGTGGTTAAAAAAGAGAAATTTTTTGAGGATTACTAGACAATTGATATCTGAATAATTGTGAAGTATTACACTTAGAACAACATCCCTATCTCCATCAAATACCTTCCCCATTGTTTCATTTTAAACTATTTTTTTTTCTTACAGAGGCAGTGATGTAAAGATGTAGGATATTCTGTCACTTTCTCTTCCCTTTTATGGTCTGCTTTTTATCCATTTCTCTGCGTGTTTGCTTCTCCACCAGACAGTTAGGGATAGAAAAAGAAAGTGAAATTCCCTGGAACATGAATAAAGTGCTATTGTTGGAATATGGTTTGTCCCCACCATAACTCATGTTAAAATTTTATCCCCAGTGTGTTGGTGTCGGGAGGTGGGGATTACTGGGAGGTGTTTGGGCCATGAGTGTGATCTCTCAAGAATGGATTGGTGCCCTTCCCATGGTAATGAATGAAATAATTCTAGGTCTTATGAAGCCAAATTAGTTCTTGTGGGAATAGAATAATTTTTGCAACAATGGTTGTTATAATGTCAGGGCAACCTTTGGGGTGCCCTTTTCGCATGAGTCTGTTACACCTTTGATCTCCTGCCATGTTGAAATGCAGCACAAAAACCCTCTTTAGAATCAGAGTAGATGCCTGTGCCATGCCCCTTGAACATCCTGGCCCGCAGAACCATAAGCTAAATAAACCTGTTTTCTTTATAAATTATCCCAACTCAAATGTTCTGTTATAGCAACACAAAAAGATTAAGACACAAGGTATCAGATTTATCTTGACATTAAAATCACCCTTCCACTCAATAACACAGATAATATAGAATTCACATTCCCTGGAGAAGCTGTCTGTGCATATGGGCCTAGTGATCACTGAGGTGGAGCAGAAACCTAGCTTCTCAGACATCACAAGATTCATAATGCAATGCAAGACTGTGGGCATCTCCTACACTAGCATCTGTGGCTATCAAGGACTTGGCCAGAAACACAATACTCCAAAGCTCAATGAAAATCATCATACTTTTTGGTACTGAGTCCATCTGATGTTCACCCGACCTAGTCTGGAGGGCCAAGGGGGGCCTTCTCTAAGGAAAGGACATTTGAACAGAGATCTGAAAGCCTAGAAGAAGGTTGACTAAATGAAGCCAGTAGAAACATCTGTCATGGAGAGACAGAGGCATTAAGACTGGTGCGCTCAGAGTAGATCTTCAGACAGAAGGCATTGAGAGTGGAAAGAATGAGGACACAGAGGCAGGGCTGAAGAGAGAGGAAGATGGGAACTCAGCATGGGACTACTGCACATATGGACTTGTTCCTGCCCCCCACTGACTCCTAGGGAAGGAAATGATACTAGTCGACTGAATCCACCTTATAAACCTCCAAGGGCATCAAAGAAGATAAATGCAAAAATATAAAAGCAATCCAAAGGATAGCAACTTCAAAGATTGGAGGATCATTACCCCTACAGATGAAAAAGAAACAGCACAAGAACTGTCACAAGTCAAAAAGACAGAATGTCTTCTCACCTCCAAACGACTGCACTAGTTCCACAGCAATGGTTCTAAACCATGCTGACATGGCTAAAATGCTAAAAATAGAATTCAGGATATGGATAGGAATGAAGATCATTGAGATATAGGAGAAAATTGAAACCCAATACAAGGATTCTAAGGAACACAATAAAATGATACAGGAGATGAAAGATGAAATGGCCATTCAAAGAACCAAACCAATTTGACAGAGCTGAAAAATTCTTCAAGAATGTCAGAATACAGTTGCAATAGTTTACTGAGAATGATGATTTCCAATTTCATCCAACTATCGCAAGAACCAAAAACCAAACACCACATATTCTCACTCATAGGTGGGAATTGAACAATGAGAACACATGGACACAGGAAGGGGAACATCACACTCTGGGGACTATTGTGGGGTGGGGGGAGGGGGGAGGGATAGCATTGGGAGATATACCTAATGCTAGATGACGAGTTAGTGGGTGCAGCGCACCAGCATGGCACATGTATACATATGTAACTAACCTGCACATTGTGCACATGTACCCTAAAACTTAAAGTATAATAATAATAAAAAAAGAATACAGTTGCAAGTTTTAGCAGAATGGACCAAGCTGAGGAAATACTCTCAGAGCTCAAAGAATGATTCTCTGAAATAACCTATTCAGACAATAATAAAGAAAAAAGATTAAAGAAGAATGAACAAAATCTCCAAGAAATATGAGATGATGTAAAGAGACCAAATGTATGACTCATTGGCATCCCAAGACAGGGAGAGAAAGCAACTGGGAAGCATAATTCAGGATATTGTGTATGAAAATTTCCCCAATCTCACTACAGAGACCAACATTCAAATTCAGGAAATTGAGAGAACCCCTGCAAAATACTGTACCAGACAACAATCCCTAAGACATATAGTCATCAGATTATCCAAAGTAAACATGAAAGAAAACATGTTAAAATCAGCTAGAAAGAAGGGGCTTGTTACCTACAAAGGGAACCCCATCAGGCTAACAGCATGCCTTTCAGCAGAAACCTTACAAGCCAAAAGAGATTAAGGGCCTATATTCAGCATTCTTAAAGAAAAGAAATTCCAACTAAGAATTTTATTTCTGGCCAAACTAAGCTTCATAAGTGAAGGAGAAATAAGATTCTTGTCTGACAAGCAAAAGTTAGGGGAATTTGTTACCACCAGACAGGCCTTACAAGAGGTCCTGAAGTGAGTGCTAAACATGGAAAGGAAAAACCCTTACCAGCCACTACTAAAACACACTAAGTACAAAGACTATTGACACTATGCAGCAACAACACAAACAGGTCTGCATAATACCCAGCTAACAACACTATGATGGGATCAAATCCGCGCATGCCAATATTAACCTTGAATGTAAATAGGCTAAATGCCCCAACTCAAAGTCATACAAGCGACAATTAGATAAAAAAGCAAGACCTAATGATTTGATATCTCCACCCCCTGGGTTCAAGCAATTCTCTTGCCTCAACTTCCCGAATAGCTGGGATTGCTGATGTGTGCCCAGATAATTTTTGTATTTTTAGTAGAGAGGGGGTTTTGCCATGTTGGCCAGGCTGGTCTCGAATTCCTGACCTCCGGTGATCCACCCACCTGGGACTCCCAAACTGCTGGGATTACAGGCATGAGCCACCATGCATCGCCTTGCATGAGTATTTTCATTGCAGCAGTATTCACAGTAGCAAAGACATAGAATCAACCGAAAAGCCCACCAACAGGAGATTTGATTAAGAAAATGTAGTACATATACATCATGGAATACTACACATCCATAAAATAAAAGAGATCTTGTCCTTTGTAGTAACATGGATGGAGTTGGTGACCATTACCTTAAGCAAACTAACACAGGAACAGAAAACCAAACACCACATGTTCTAACTTACAATTTGGAGCTGAACATTGAGTATATATGGACACAAAGAAGGGAGCAACAGACACCAGGGCCTACTTGAGGGTGGAGGGTGAAGATAAAAAAAACTACCTATTAGATACTATGCTTATTACCTGGGTGATGAAATAATCTGTATACAAACCCTTGTGATGTGCAGTTTACCTAGATAACAAACATGCATATGTACCCCTGAACTGAAAGTAAGAGTTAAAAAATTAAAATTAATTAAAATCATTTAATGTAATGTCTCCAGTCTTAAAAACATAACTAAGGACAAGGATTTTAAAGTGGTTTAGAGTCCACAGTCATTTTCATAAAGGTCAAATGTTTCTTCCCACTCAGTTTATTCTGGTAAGTAGTTTCATAATGTTACTATTTTTCAATGTTTATAATTTAAATGAGAAATGAAACATTTTTAGGGAAAAGAAACTTTATTAAGGGTTGATTATATTACATAATATTTTTATACCTGAGAAATACAGGCTGTTTTAAAAGCAAACCATGAAAGGAAGATAATAACTTCAAGAAATGGAAGAGATGATAATCATAAGTCTTGGCATATTGAAAGAACATTTCTAAACTTTGTTATTAAATTAGGCAAGATCACATTTTCATTTATTACTATAGATGGTTTACAAGGCTGTTGACCTAATTATTCCTATGAAAAATATGGGTGAATTGTATCACAGAATATGAAATAAAACATTGGCTGAAGGGCTGAAGTAATGGCAATTTAGATGGAATTTAATAATATATTTTATTTTCCAGTTTTTTGCAGCAGGTTTTTTTCCTTGAATGGTCAATTAATGTGGGAATAATTCATGCGCAGATGGATTGGCTGTGCTCTTGAAATAAACTGTTTTCAAAATTCCACCAAAATTCCACCAGCAGATGGATTTAACCTAAGGGAGTAGATGTTCAATGTTTGGCTCCATGAGCTGATCTTGTATTTGAGAACTCCCCAATACCTCCTACCTCTTTCTTCTTCTTCTTCTTCCTCTTCTTCTTCTTCTTCCTCTTCTTCTTCTTCTTCTTCTTCTTCTTCTTCTTCTTCTTCTTCTTCCTTCTTCTTCTTCTTTCTTCTTCTTCTTCCTCTTCTTCTTCTTCCTCTTCCTCTTCTACCTCTTATTCTTCCTCTTCTTCCTCTTCTTCTTCTTCTTTCTTTTTTTTTTTTTTTTTTTAAGACAGAGTCTTGTTCTGTCTCCCACTGTCACCCAGGCCGTAGTGCAATGGTGCAATCTCGGCTCACTGCAACCTCTGCGTCCCGGGTCCAAGCGATTCTCCTGCCTCAGCCTCCCGAGTAGCTGGGATTACAGGCGCGTGCCACCAACCTGTCTAATTTTTTTGTATTTTTAGTAGAGAAGGGGTTTCACCATGTTGGCCAGGATGGTCTCAATCTCCTGAACTTGTGATCTGCCAGCCTCGGCCTCCCAAAGTGCTGGAATTACAGGCTTCAGCCACTGCGCCCAGCCAACACCTCCCTTTCAAACTGGATCATGGGGCAGATGCCTCGTATTTTCAAACTACTGTTTGAAAATATCTACTTACCTACTTTTTTGCAGGTTATAAGCCTTCTGAACTGCGCCCATTTTCACTTGTTTTTAATGATTAGCACTACAAGACTTGACCCTGTCCTCCCTTGCCCTGGTTGTGTCATCTTCACCTTCTAATCCCCTTTATCTGGACCCACTATACCAGTAAAGTGTAGATAAATTCAGGCCATGCACCTGTGAATTAGATACCCCTGTTTTTAGTATAAGAGTGAGAACAACATGAAACCCTCCAGTGCCCCAATCCAGTTGTTTTGTCCGAAGCCCCTTTGACATGTCAGAGAGAATCCCGATTATGTAAAGAAATAGGTCAACCTGTGGAAACACAACAGATGGGTTCAGTAAAACTTTATTGAATACCTCCAATGTGCATGGCAATTAAATGAAACCCGGGGAGTTTCCTTAGATAAAATTAAAAAATTTCATTGGCCAGTGGGACTATTATGTATCTCTAACAGATAGAAATAAATTTTGCAAAGATCACTTTTTGTTAGTAAAGGTTTGGATTTATAATTCTTTGTTATTTTCTCACTGAAGATCATTTCGACTTTGTCATTGGATTTGTTATCTTGCATTATGTTAGTATGGTGCCATTTCACATTTTAGAGAAAATGAAACCTAACGTGCTGCAGAACACACACACACACACACACACACACACACACACACACACACACCACAGCTGCCTATAGTGAAACACATTATAGAAATGATTCAATTTTATTTGATTCAGAGTGTCACTTAAAGTGTTTTCTTTTGTTCATTTGTAGCTCATTTTAAACACGTATTTTAAAATCTACTAGTAAAGGAAGAGAACATACCATTAGCGCTGATTGGGAAGGGTGGTTACTTGAGGATGTAAAATGGCTAGCTCCATTTCACATTACATTTAATATGGAAAGGAAAGCATAATACTGCATTAGGAAGAGTTAATTCTGACTGTCATTAATGCTCAGTAGTTCTGCACATGTATGCAGAAAGCTGCTGTTCTTGTTACTCCCTGCACACACTCTGTGCTCAGTGGAGTGCAATTGTCTTGGCCCCAGCAATTGCTGAGCAGGTGACTTGATTATACTGAAATCAGGCAGAAAATGTCCTCTTCTGGCCACTCGAGTGAATCAGTCAAATTATTGAGTGGCAAAACTAATTCTATGCCTTGGGCCATCAGAACTGCCACTTCCTATAAGTCAAGCCTTCACTTAGTGTGAAATTGTTTTTTATTTTATTCTCTTTCATTTATTATGCTTATTTCAGCTAATCTACTTAGTGGATGTGAATTAGCTCACGTGCTTGGGCAGGTTTAGATATGCAACTTTCTGATCTAGTAGTGTTAAAATATTTTAGATTTCCAATTCATTTAACAAACATCCAAAATTTTTTATGATCCATATTGCTGGGAGATACAAGGCAATGCTTGTGATTTTAAAATGAGGTACAATAGGAAAGAAAAGATTAAATAAGATGAGATTTAATGAAATTTTACTTCTACTAAATTTTTCTTAATAGAATTACAGACATTTAAACTTCAGAAAACGGGAAATTGATTAAATGCAGATTCTTAAGTGAGAAATAATTTACAGTTGCTTAGTCACACAGTTCCTCTTGTCCGTCTGTGAAACAAATCTCCATGCAGTTCCTTATATACTTTTGAATTTCTGGCTCAAATTTTATGCTTATTAACAGTCATTGTTATCATTGTCATTAACAAGCTGGGGAGTATTTATTCATGAATACTACTGACACGTGAAACCCATTTTCCTTAAGTTAGAGAATACCAAAAGACAGCATCTTGTGTGCATGTGTGTGGAAACTTAAGGTGTGCTTTAGAGTTTTATATGTCTATCAACTTCTTTATTTGCCATTTGAATGGGATAAAGTATTTATACCAACCATCTTAAAATACTTAACAAATAATTTGTATAACATGTAGTTTTCTGTTCACTTCTGCTTATTTCGTGATACATAAGAGGAAAATGTACTATTTTGGGGCAATCAAAAACCTGAACTTGAGACCAATGTTTTAAAGAATAGCAAATATTTGCTTATATTTCCATGACAGGGAGCATTTTTTGAGTGATCTAACAGATTCTGTGAAGATTTATTCTCCTATTAGAGAATGCCCCTTAAATCTTGGAGGAGGGAAATGGCAGTTGAATTGTTGAGGGATTTCTGCCTATACATATTCATTTAACAAAACTAGATGGTATTTGCAGAAGTGGGTGAGCTATCATGTCAGATATTATATGTCACATGTTAGATGTCACACACATGCATTTCTTTAGGTTAATGGCTGGGAAAAAAATCTCATGTTCTACATATTTTGTTTGATAAGACATTTGTGTATTTTGAGATACACATGTATGAACTCTTTTCTCTTGGAACAGGTATCCAAATAATATGATACATGTTTAAAAAATAATAATGATAATATTTTCCCTTGAGACAGCACAGTTTAGATCCATAAGGCCATTATCAAGAAATAGTCTTTGGCATGTTTAATAGAGTTTTGCACAATTTGTAAGTATAGATTCATAGAACTCTAGTAACATGTAAGAGAAACATGGAATATTTAAAATCTTATTTTAAATGTACAATTATTTCTGATACAGAAATCAGGAGAGAAAGCCTTTTTTTTTCTTTTATATTCTTTCAGGTATAAGTTACGAATACTATTTATATTTTTTTAAATTAAATTTTTATTTTTGCCTTTCTCTGAAAAAACGATATTTTTCTCTATAACAATTTTGAAGTTCTGAAGACTTTTTGTACCTGGAAAATCACTAAAAGTATAGTGAAAATGTAGTCAAAATTAAAACATTTTATTAAATCCACATCTGACATTACTGGTGTATTTTTAAGAATAGTTATTTAGATGATAAAATGTATTTAGAAAAAATTAATTGTGTTTGATTAATTTTAACTTTCACTTTTCAATTTAATTTCTATAAACAGTTTTTTTGCAGCCAAGGAATACATTAACTAAAAATTATTATTAGTCAATCAATACTTACATTTAATAAATGACTAGATTTATACTCATAATGTAAATAGTCCTCAATCAACAGTTTCTTTGAAGACTGTTATTTATCAATCAAAGATGAGGCTTATTTTCTTGGCTCATAAATGTGTATATCTGTAAAGATAATTGCAGTAATCTCTGTATTGATAATTGTAACCCTTGGAATCTAATGGATGTCACTTCTGAATGCAAAATGTTATACACTAGTGAGATAGAATTTGAGTGTTGCATAATTCTTGGTGATACAAAGAAAATCATAATGAAAGATGCATTTTGATATTTTTGAACTTGAGGTGAAGCATATGAAAAGTATTCAAGCCAATAAAGAAAGAATAGAGAGGATAATTTTGAATAGTTTTGTTTTACATTTTTGGAATTTTGCAGTATCTTATAGGAGAGAATTGAATTTTATTTATGGAAAAAATTTATTTGAAATTAGTATGTTTGGGGTTTTTCTTCATGGCAAGGTGGTAGAAATGTTTGAGTATGTTAAGTGTAGAATAACAGCTTCTAGGAGTAAACTATTAGATAAATGTAATAAAGTATTCTGTTGCATAATCGGTCATTTTTCACTGTTTAACTTAGCAGTGAAAACTCTATTAAATCACAAGGCCACCAAAAGTCCTTTATTTTTCTTCATACTAGGGCCATGTCATGAGGTCCCTGTGCTATTCTCAGGTTGTAACAATCTGATGTCATTGGCCTTCCTAGAGGAAAAAATTCTGCACCCAGAGATTTTTATGGGTAAAAGACAGTCTGTGGGTAATGCTGTTTGTTTTCTCTTTACCAGTTACAAAAAGAAAGTGCCCTATGCGAAGTTCCATGGTTTATACTTTCATCAGGTGTTTGGGTTCTACAGCCAGAAGACTGACTAAAAGTTAGACCTTTGCTGTGGAAACTGTTGAGCACCATGTGGAAAAAAATGGCCTAATTGTTGTGTACCTGATAAATGTAATTCCTAAAGGTTGTCTTACGTGGAGTATATGACTGTTTCAACAAGCTTTTAAAAAGTGAAGGGTGCAAAGGGGGAATATGGCTTCAGTGTCCTTTCAGTGGCAAGAAATGAAAGGTTTGTTCCTCATTAAATCATTTATTGATGTTTCCCAATAGATTTTGAGCTGAACACTTGTTAATCTCAAAGCTCTGACAAGCGAGGCCTGCAAAATTAGGCCAACCACTGCTACAAATATCTAGTGTACATGAAACGGTAATCATTGCTTTCCAGTCTATTATTAGATTAACTTCATAGGAATTGCTTTTTTCTCTTGTGAGTTGATGCATAAATGGCATGCTTTATCCTCCAATAAATATAATAGCAGAGTGCCTATGACATGATGTTCATAGCCCTTGGTCCCATGACAGATTATTTTTGATTGCTGCTGGAGTTCAGAGCAACTTGAAACCATTAGAATTTGAAGGCATCCTTGAATATTACAGCATACCTAACTCATACAGAATACTGCTGACTCTGAGTTATGTTCACAGCTTTTTGTCCCATGGTCTTGACTGTCACTCTGTGACTAACTTAAGAAATTATTTAGAAATTCTCAATTGAGTTAATAAACAATTTTACGACAAGATGTAAGAGTGGTATCTCCATCTCTTGAGGATTACTAGCATTGCTAAATGTCACCAGGGAGAGTTTCTGTTGACATTTTGCATCTAACTATGTTGAAACTTCTTTTCCTTGTTACGAGTTACATTAGAAAGGTATGATATTAGATGCCAAGCCTCTTATACAGGCAATTCTAAATACATTCTTTCTGTAGCAGATCAGTAACTTGTATTTTGTGTTGATATTTTCTTTTCACCTCAACATGCAACTTCCTTTCTGATGACTTAAATCCAATCTGCTTATCATTTCTCAATCTTGTAAAAATGGCTCAGATAAGCAGTTAGTAGAAACTTTGATATGAGTGTGCTTTCCCCAGGTTGTGGAACTTTGAAGCTTTCAATGTATACAAGTGTGGTTCTAAGTGTTTCTTGGTTCTCTGTCAATTTAATTTTAGGAGAATCTCATGTTTTATACCTAGGGTGATTTATTTTCCTGAGATATTTTTGGTTTATGTCTGTTTTGATGCCCTATCTAGTTTAGTGTTTTATCACTATCTAAAGTGTTTTTGTTTGAAAAATAAACTATACAGTTATCTTTCTTATTAAACCAGCTAATCTTTATATGAGTAAATTGATCTATGAGTGTCTTGGGGTTTCACATGTATGGAAAGGAATTGTAACCTTATTACTGACTCTTTCTCTTTTTTAGCCAATACCTTTAATTCAACATTTCTCGACGTGAATATAAAGAGACATATAATACATAGTAGACCACCTCATTTCAGATCTTCTATGGAGACAATTGTAATACTAAGTTGAATCTAAAAAGTTGGAGGCATTGTTGCACCAAACATTGATCTTCACCCTTTCCATGCTAAAACAGCCATAAAGTAAAACATCATGTACCTCAGTTTTTTCCCTATTATCACAATGTGAAGCACTAAAGACGTATTTACTTATATGTTTCTATTCATTGCATTAGGCATGGGCATTATTGCAAAGCACCCCAGGCAGCACAACTAATGAGGGAGTTAAGGATGGACCTCTTCTTAGGGAAGATTAAAACGCAAAACAACTTGGAATTGCTTTAATGAGAAATTTTGAGCATTTAAAAATTTGTAAGTAACAATGCAGTGCATGCTATGAAAATGCATGGTATGCCTGACTTTAGCTGCACATGTAGTCAAGTGTACTATAATTTTATTGAGAAATGCCTTCATTAATTGTATAGCAAGATTTGTTACACATAGAACCTAGAGCCAATGTGAATCTAATTTAATACAATGGTTATTTTTTTTTAATAATTGACATTCCTGGCTTCTATGTTAAGTATATGGTAGCAGTTTGACAGCATTGAAAGACCCATAGGGAAGCAAAAAATGTTCCCAATATAGTGGTGTTTATTGTTATTTATGTAGTACATTTTAATGACTAAATATGCATCAGATGTTACACAGCATAGTATATAATCAGGGACCAAACAACAGACACATTGAGGGATAAGAGCTTATTTCAAAGTGTACTAGTCAGGGTTCCCTAGAGGGGCAGAACTAATAGGATAGATGTATATATGAAGGGGAATTTATTAAGGAATATTGACTCACACAATCACGAGGTGAAGTCCCACAATAGGCCATATGAAAGCTGAGGAGCAAGGAAGCCAGCCCGCATCCCAAAATCTCAAAAGTAGGGAAGCCGACGGTGCAGCCTTCAGTCTGTGGCCAAAATCCCTAGAGCCCCTGGCAAATCACTGGTGTAAGTCCAAGAGTCCAAAAGCTGAAGAACTTGGAGTCTGATGTTGAAGGGCAGGAAGCAACCAGCATGGGAGAAAGATGAAGGCCGGAAGACTCAGCAAGTCTGCTTCTTCCACCTTCTTCTGCCTTCTTTATTCTAGCCATGCTGGCAGCTGATTAGATGGTGCCCACTCAGATTGAGGGTGGGTCTGCCTCCACCAGTCCACCGACTCAAATGTTAATCTCCTTTGGCAACATCGTCACAGACACACCCAGGAACAATACTTTGCATCCTTCAATGCAATCAAGTTGACACTCATTATTAATTATCACAAGTTCACCTCTTGTCAACTTGAACCCATACACATAATCCTGAAGTTGACACTCAATATTAACCATCATACAGAGAGAAAAAGCATAAATGTTCATAGTTAATGGTAAGTAGATGAGTTTAGACATTTTGTAGGTAGGTAGGAAAGTTTTGTATGTATGTAGATATGTTTAGAAATCAAATGAATTCGATAGGGCTCATTTCAAATGATCAACTATAAAGGTCAGATGTGTAAACCACTGATTCCTACCTACTTCCAGGTTACTGGGATCACCCCCATGGCAAACAGCCTTTCTTGATCATGAGTTTATAAACACTTCTTAACCATATTTGCCAAATACAAATGATTCATGGGTAACTATAGGGAAAAAAACTCCACAACACATGTCTGAGTACTGAGGTCAGAGCACCTTATCCAGTGACTGCTCAGGATAATTTTTTTTTTGCTTGACAATGTGCTTTACAGCAAGTTTCTTGTGTGTGTGTGCGTGTTTGTGTGTATGCTTGCATGTGTGTGTGTGTGTATGGCATAATATGTGTTTCTATAATGTAGCTAATTTAGAAACATTTGATAACTCATATATTTTGTGTTACATAAATGTATGAACACAAATGAGAAGTTAATACAAGAGTTTTGATGCTTTAGTTGGATTTTGTATGGCTTTTGTAAGTATCAAGTAGAATGGTGTAATAATATCACCCAGAGGCAGTCTGCACATAACAATAATGATATTATTAATAGTAACAATCTGTATATAACAAAAACAACGACAACATATATGAAGTAAGTGTTTCTATCATCTTTGTGGAAATGTATTTTGTGTTTTAGTCTCAAGATTTTAAATGGTCACTCGTTTTATTATTAAGTTGTTTGTCATGCATATACTGAAGCTGGAAACAATATATCAGATAGAAAGTTCTACAGATTTTTTACACAGGGGCATATATAGCATATAGTAATATGTCTTTTATGAAATAAATCATGTCATATATTATTCTAATTATAATTGATGGATTAGGATGCAGCTGGACAAAAGGAAGTATTTATGCTAACTTCAATTATAACTTGGAGAGTACCAAAATGTTTCTTATCTTCTGACTCTGTTACGGCAATATGATGCCATAGAATGAGATTGGATTGAGTCCTATCTAACGACCAATTAAGTATTGTTTCTGATAAGCCATTTATCTTCTCCAAGGAATATTTTTTCTTCTCTGTAACATGTAGATAGTCATGCTTGCCCTGCTTATTTCTTACCTTGTTATGAATTGCATATGAATATTTAAATCATATGTGAAAGCGTTTTGAATGATGCAAAATACTGTATGTGGTATATTTTTTAAAAATATTGCTTTGAATTTCTTTGCTTTTTGTCAATTAATGCTTTACTATTACTGTAGGCTACATTTTGGAATAAGAAAATAGATTTTGTTGGAAAATGAAGAAAAACATTTTGATTTTATGGATATTATAGTCTAGCTCATGATGAGCTCAATTTTTTTTCTTGAACTATAAAATATATTTCATTACCACCAAAATGTATTATTCATCCACTGTTTATACCCAGATGGTTTATAACATATGGAATAAATCAACACACCTGCAGTGTAACAGGTTCCTCATGCTATAGCATAATATCTTAAGTAACGCCACAGGATACTTATAATGACTTCAAAGCTATCCAGAATCACATGCATACTGAAAACATTTTATTATTTGTAATTCTTGGATTTGTCTATATTAAATGTAAAAGTAATGAGTTTTGTAGAAAGTTGTCTTTTCACATGTGATCAATATGTTTTGAAGCTCACATATGTTCTCAGGAGTTAATGTTTTCAATATTTACAAGAGTAAATCATTCTGGAGGTCCTAGTGCTATGTACGCTATCAGATGTGCAGGCAGCCACCATTTGGAAAAAGTCTTCTAATTTCTATCATCCTGTAGTTTTGTACAATTTAAAGCATAATTTATATCTTGGAGAGGAAAACTGCTAATTGAGATCATGTCATAAAAATGTAATTTAGCAAAACTGTTAGTTTTGGGTATTTTACTATTTTAAGCAAATATTTTTTAAATCACTTGAATATTAAATAGGTTGTAAAATTGTGTTGGGTATCGGCACGTTATGTCTTCAAATGCATTTTAATTCTCATTTTCCTTTGTTTAAATAGTGAAAACTTTATAAATTAGAAACTACAATTAATTGAATAAACTCCAATAGGACATTTTTGTATGCATTTAAAAAAATGTAACATAAATATTTTAGAGCTTTTGATGGTGGGTAACGTGTCCATCCCTCTGGATTTTAATGCAGTACCAGGGGAAATAATGCTAATATCATGTGAAGCACAATTTATTTTCAGTTTTTAAGCCCATCATGGTTACTCAGTTAATATATACTTTAATGCCGGCATCTAAAATATCTAAATTAGATTTTAATAGCAAGATTTCCCAACCAATACAGAAACTATGATTCGTGCCATAGCTATTTCATCCCACAGACTCCCAAAATACCTTATGTGATGATGAGTAAAAGAGAGGCATTTGCCAATTTAATGACATGTTTTCTGTATGCTTCAGATGCCTTTATTCATTTTAATAACAGAACTCATAGAATCCTAGAAGTACTAGAAAGCTTGCAATAGGGGAAGCTCTCCTGTTTTTCATACAAGGAAGCCTCTCAATAGGGTCATACAATGGTGGGGAGGGCCTAACTCTCATTTATCGACCTAGAAAGCCAATCGTTGCCTGTTCTGGAATAAGAGTGCTAGGTGCTTTACATCTCTTATCTCATTTAACTCCCGTAAGAACTATGAGGTAAGCGTTCATTATCTCTTTTGTGTAGATGAGGAAACAGAGAAGCTCCTAGACGTCACACTGCTAGTGAATCAGTGCCAAATATAACTGGCTTTTCAAAGATTGGGTTCTTAAATACTAGGCCACATTACTTTTCTCAAGTTCTAAATATTGGCCAAAAGAAAGGCCCTGTTTTGGTATCTGCTAGTTAGTGTAGAATATAAGAATCACAGAAAGATAATGAGCTGTTTCTAGTCCTTGATGCACCTTTAGCCAGATTTTGAACTGAGGTAAATCACTTAACTTTATTGTTGTATCATCTATCAGATGGGAATGATAGTCTCTGCATATGGGTCATTGGGATAATAAAATTAGGTGAGAGATGTGTATTAGTCAGAGTTCTACAGAGAAACAGAACCAATAGGATATGTATATATATATATATATATATATATATATATATATATATAGAGAGAGAGAGAGAGAGAGAGAGAGAGAGAGAGAAGAAGAAATGTACTACGGGAATTTGCTCATGCAGTTACGGAGGCTGAGAAGTCTTGCGATATGCTGTCTGCAAGCTAGAGAACTAGGAAAGCCAGTGATGTAATTCAGTCCGAGTGTGAAGGCCTGAGAACCAGGGAGCCTATGGCATAACTCTAAGATCTACATCAAGGTCTGAGAACTGAAGGGGGCTGCTGGTATAAGTCCAGGAGTCTGAAGGCCTGAGTGCAAAGAGTTCAGGTACCTGAGGGCAGGAAAGGATGGATGGTGCAACTGAAACAAAAGCAAATTCATCTTTCCTCTTCCTTTTTGTTCTATCTTGGCCCTCAGAGGATGGGATATCTACCCACATTGGTAAGGGTGGATCTCCTTTACTAAGCTTACTGATTCAAATGCTAAACTTTTCCTGAAACACCCTCACAGACACATCCAGAAATAATGTTTTATCAGCTATCTGTGTATTCCTTAACACAGTCAAGTGAACTCATAAATTAACCATCACAACATGTGGGTGGGCTTTTAAAAAATCTTTTGAAGTCAGGTAGTGTGATGCCTCCAGCTTTGTTCTTTTGGCTTAGGATTGACTTGGCGATGCGGGCTCTTTTTTGGTTCCATATGAACTTTAAAGTAGTTTTTTCCAATTCTGTGAAGAAAGGCATTGGTAGCTTGATGGGGATGGCATTGAATCTGTAAATTACCTTGGGCAGTATGGCCATTTTCACGATATTGATTCTTCCTACCCATGAGCATGGAATGTTCTTCCATTTGTTTGTGTCCTCTTTTATTTCCTTGAGCAGTGGTTTGTAGTTCTCCTTGAAGAGGTCCTTCACATCCCTTGTAAGTTGGATTCCTAGGTATTTTATTCTCTTTGAAGCAATTGTGAATGGGAGTTCACTCATGATTTGGCTGTTTGTCTGTTGTTGGTGTATAAGAATGCTTGTGATTTTTGTACATTGATTTTGTATCCTGAGACTTTGCTGAAGTTGCTTATCAGCTTAAGGAGATTTTGGGCTGAGACGATGGGGTTTTCTAGATAAACAATCATGTCGTCTGCAAACAGGGACAATTTGACTTCCTCTTTTCCTAATTGAATACCCTTTATTTCCTTCTCCTGCCTGATTGCCCTGTCCAGAACTTCCAACACTATGTTGAATAGGAGCGGTGAGAGAGGGCATCCCTGTCTTGTGCCAGTTTTCAAAGGGAATGCTTCCAGTTTTTGCCCATTCAGTATGATATTGGCTGTGGGTTTGTCATAGATAGCTCTTATTATTTTGAAATACGTCCCATCAATACCTAATTTATTGAGAGTTTTTAGCATGAAGGGTTGTTGAATTTTGTCAAAGGCTTTTTCTGCATCTATTGAGATAATCATGTGGTTTTTGTCTTTGGCTCTGTTTATATGCGGGATTACATTTATTGATTTGCGTATATTGAACCAGCCTTGCATCCCAGCGATGAAGCCCACTTGATCATGGTGGATAAGCTTTTTGATGTGCTGCTGGATTCGGTTTGCCAGTATTTTATTGAGGATTTTTGCATCAATGTTCATCAAGGATATTGGTCTAAAATTCTCTTTTTTGGTTGTGTCTCTGCCCGGCTTTGGTATCAGAATGATGCTGGCCTCATAAAATGAGTTAGGGAAGATTCCCTCTTTTTCTATTGATTGGAATAGTTTCAGAAGGAATGGTACCAGTTCCTCCTTGTACCTCTGGTAGAATTCGGCTGTGAATCCATCTGGTCCTGGACTCTTTTTGGTTGGTAAACTATTGATTATTGCCACAATTTCAGAGCCTGTTATTGGTCTATTCAGAGATTCAACTTCTTCCTGGTTTAGTCTTGGGAGAGTGTATGTGTCGAGGAATGTATCCATTTCTTCTAGATTTTCTAGTTTATTTGCGTAGAGGTGTTTGTAGTATTCTCTGATGGTAGTTTGTATTTCTGTGGGATCGGTGGTGATATCCCCTTTATCATTTTTTATTGTGTCTATTTGATTCTTCTCTCTTTTTTTCTTTATTAGTCTTGCTAGCGGTCTATCAATTTTGTTGATCCTTTCAAAAAACCAGCTCCTGGATTCATTGATTTTTTGAAGGGTTTTTTGTGTCTCTATTTCCTTCAGTTCTGCTCTGATTTTAGTTATTTCTTGCCTTCTGCTAGCTTTTGAATGTGTTTGCTCTTGCTTTTCTAGTTCTTTTAATTGTGATGTTAGGGTGTCAATTTTGGATCTTTCCTGCTTTCTCTTGTAGGCATTTAGTGCTATAAATTTCCCTCTACACACTGCTTTGAATGCGTCCCAGAGATTCTGGTATGTGGTGTCTTTGTTCTCGTTGGTTTCAAAGAACATCTTTATTTCTGCCTTCATTTCGTTATGTACCCAGTAGTCATTCAGGAGCAGGTTGTTCAGATTCCATGTAGTTGAGCGGCTTTGAGTGAGATTCTTAATCCTGAGTTCTAGTTTGATTGCACTGTGGTCTGAGAGATAGTTTGTTATAATTTCTGTTCTTTTACATTTGCTGAGGAGAGCTTTACTTCCAACTATGTGGTCAATTTTGGAATAGGTGTGGTGTGGTGCTGAAAAAAATGTATATTCTGTTGATTTGGGGTGGAGAGTTCTGTAGATGTCTATTAGGTCCGCTTGGTGCAGAGCTGAGTTCAATTCCTGGGTATCCTTGTTGACTTTCTGTCTCGTTGATCTGTCTAATGTTGACAGTGGGGTGTTAAAGTCTCCCATTATTAATGTGTGGGAGTCTAAGTCTCTTTGTAGGTCACTCAGGACTTGCTTTATGAATCTGGGTGCTCTTGTATTGGGTGCATAAATATTTAGGATAGTTAGCTCCTCTTGTTGAATTGATCCCTTTACCATTATGTAATGGCCTTCTTTGTCTCTTTTGATCTTTGTTGGTTTAAAGTCTGTTTTATCAGAGACTAGGATTGCAACCCCTGCCTTTTTTTGTTTTCCATTGGCTTGGTAGATCTTCCTCCATCCTTTTATTTTGAGCCTATGTGTGTCTCTGCACGTGAGATGGGTTTCCTGAATACAGCACACTGATGGGTCTTGATTCTTTATCCAATTTGCCAGTCTGTGTCTTTTAATTGCAGAATTTAGTCCATTTATATTTAAAGTTAATATTGTTATGTGTGAATTTGATCCTGTCATTATGATGTTAGCTGGTTATTTTGCTCGTTAGTTGATGCAGTTTCTTCCTAGTCTCGATGGTCTTTACATTTTGGCATGATTTTGCAGTGGCTGGTACCGGTTGTTCCTTTCCATGTTTAGCGCTTCCTTCAGGAGCTCTTTTAGGGCAGGCCTGGTGGTGACAAAATCTCTCAGCATTTGCTTGTCTATAAAGTATTTTATTTCTCCTTCACTTATGAAGCTTAGTTTGGCTGGATATGAAATTCTGGGTTGAAAATTCTTTTCTTTAAGAATGTTGAATATTGGCCCCCACTCTCTTCTGGCTTGTAGGGTTTCTGCCGAGAGATCCGCTGTTAGTCTGATGGGCTTTCCTTTGAGGGTAACCCGACCTTTCTCTCTGGCTGCCCTTAACATTTTTTCCTTCATTTCAACTTTGGTGAATCTGACAATTATGTGTCTTGGAGTTGCTCTTCTTGAGGAGTATCTTTGTGGCGTTCTCTGTATTTCCTGAATCTGAAAGTTGGCCTGCCTTGCTAGATTGGGGAAGGCTACAGTAACCAAAACAGCATGGTACTGGTACCAAAACAGAGATATAGATCAATGGAACAGAACAGAGCCCTCAGAAATAATGCCGCATATCTACAACTATCTGATCTTTGACAAACCTGAGAAAAACAAGCAATGGGGAAAGGATTCCCTATTTAATAAATGGTGCTGGGAAAACTGGCTAGCCATATGTAGAAAGCTGAAAATGGATCCCTTCCTTACACCTTATACAAAAATCAATTCAAGATGGATTAAAGATTTAAACGTTAGACCTAAAACCATAAAAACCCTAGAAGAAAACCTAGGCATTACCATTCAGGACATAGGCGTGGGCAAGGACTTCATGTCCAAAACACCAAAAGCAATGGCAACAAAAGCCAAAATTGACAAATGGGATCTAATTAAACTAAAGAGCTTCTGCACAGCAAAAGAAACTACCATCAGAGTGAACAGGCAACCTACAACATGGGAGAAAATTTTCACAACCTACTCATCTGACAAAGGGCTAATATCCAGAATCTACAATGAACTCAAACAAATTTACAAGAAAAAAACAAACAACCCCATCAAAAAGTGGGCGAAGGACATGAACAGACACTTCTCAAAAGAAGACATTTATGCAGCCAAAAAACACATGAAAAAATGCTCATCATCACTGGCCATCAGAGAAATGCAAATCAAAACCACTATGAGATATCATCTCACACCAGTTAGAATGGCAATCATTAAAAAGTCAGGAAACAACAGGTGCTGGAGAGGATGTGGAGAAATAGGAACACTTTTACACTGTTGGTGGGACTGTAAACTAGTTCAACCATTGTGGAAGTCAGTGTGGCGATTCCTCAGGGATCTAGAACTAGAAATACCATTTGACCCAGCCATCCCATTACTGGGTATATACCCAAATGACTATAAATCATGCTGCTATAAAGACACATGCACACGTATGTTTATTGCGGCATTATTCACAATAGCAAAGACTTGGAACCAACCCAAATGTCCAACAATGATAGACTGGATTAAGAAAATGTGGCACATATACACCATGGAATACTATGCAGCCATAAAAAATGATGAGTTCATGTCCTTTGTAGGGACATGGATGAAATTGGAAACCATCATTCTCAGTAAACTATCGCAAGAACAAAAAACCAAACACCGCATATTCTCACTCATAGGTGGGAATTGAACAATGAGATCACATGGACACAAGAAGGGGAATATCACACTCTGGGGACTGTGGTGGGGTCGGGGGAGGGGGGAGGGATAGCATTGGGAGATATACCTAATGCTAGATGACACGTTAGTGGGTGCAGTGCACCAGCATGGCACATGTATACATATGTAACTAACCTGCACATTGTGCACATGTACCCTAAAACTTAAAGTAGAATTAAAAAAAAAAAAAAAAAAAGAGAATTCAGCAAGGATTCAGGATGCCAAATCAATATATGGAATCAATTGCATCTCTATATAAGAACAATAAATAAATGGAAAATGAAACATAAAAAAAAAAATCTTTTGAAGGTGTTATAAAAATGAATTTATATTCCAAAGGTAAAGCTTCCCACCAACACATACTTCTTTTTTTATTCATTTTTTGATATTTGGGAGCAAGATGATATTTTCTCATTTTTCTTTTCATGGGGGTGGCCAGGTATTAATAGTAACTATTGTACTGTGGCCTGTCAGGATGGTTGAGTTTTCAAGAAGGTGACACATGTTTTTTGTTTTGTTTTGTTTTGTTTTTTGCCAGTAAAATTTGTTTTATTTATTTCTTCTTCCTTTTTTCCTTCTCAATTTATCTGTGGCAATGAGATTGTCTATTTCATTGAGAAAAGATAGCACAATTTCACTTCATTTGAAAGAACGTGGGATGCCATCCTAATTATGTGACTTATGAATGGTATATGCTTGCAAAGAAGGATTAGGAAAGTTTGGAGGAGTGAAGAGCTTTTCTCATTTTAACCAGACAGTATATCTAATCATAACAATCTTTCCAAAACCTCTTAATCTAAATGGTCTGCATTTCACATTTGAGCTCCCTATTTAATGCTGCTTAAAATTGTATACACATATAATACATACATAAATTCACCAAATTAAGGTTTTCTCTCTGTGTGTGCATACAGATATTTTGTGTGTATGTATAAAACTTTGGTATTCTAGTTTTTAATCCAAGAGAGTTTTAATCCAAGCTTAGGAAGGTTTTGTTTGAGTAAAGTATATGAATATGCAGTTTACAAAAAGGCACATGATCTTCTAGAACTCTGCTTTTGCATGTTATTATTTCTAATGACTACATGATATGTTGATACCTTAACTGTATTGCATCATGAACGCATGTTTCTAATACTTAATTTCCTTATTCAAAATCCAACATTTACTTGGAAACAGGTAGGTGAAAAGATAGCAACATAAATATGATTCTATAAACATTTCTCTTTATATTAGAAGGTAGAAATTGTAAATCGCCAAATGATAACTTGAAAGTAATATACAGAATATTTGGAATTCATGACTATATTTTGCTGCACTAGACTTAGATTGGTCTAGGTTTCTTAAGAAAGGAGTGAGGGAAATCTAGTTTTGTCTCATGTTCACCTTCTTTAGGGTAATTATCTTTTTTTTTTTCCTGAAATAGACAACACTTTATAAGTATGGTATGGGTACTAAGTAGAGACTGATCATTGGATTTCTACAAAATAGTAGGGAGTTTTAAAGGAGTCAATGCCGTTGACCTAATTTTAAGGAAATTTTATTATTTTGTGTACAGTTATAGCACCAATGAAGACATATCACAGTTATTTTTGGATTTCAAGTAAATGTTAAAGAAGAATAATATATTAATTTTGTGGTCTTGACCACTTACATGGGTATTGCCACCTTGATAGTTCCACTAGTTGTAATACAGGGTTTAGGTATAAAACAACAGCTGTGTATAGATCCAATAATTGTAATATTGAAAATAATTTGAAATTAATTTGAAAATGTAATATTAATATTATCAAAGGGAAAGATTTCAGACTATTTTGAGATATAACAATGCAAATATGATACAATGCTTATTATTGACCAAGGGACCCAACATTATGTAATTAAGAAATAAATGGAATGTAAGATGTCCGACCAAGAGAACACATGTAGTCATGTAAGCAGTCTCATGTTTTGTCTTACTCCAGTCACTCACTAGTTCTGTGTCCTTAGGAAAGTCTTTTATTTTCTCAGGACTTCAGTTTTTAGTATGCACTGCTATCTCCCATGTCTCTCCTAAGTTCCATTGGCCCACCTCTGTAAAACACCATACAAACATAATGTGCGATTATTGGTTGTATTACAAGATAAATAATATTACCGGAATTCTAACAAATAGCTATAAAAATCACAATATTTTATTGATTATACAAATACATTCCCTTATTTCCACATTTTTATGTTACCTTACAGAAATCTGTACCTCTTAATTTTTAAAAATTTTCTCACTTAACCCTTCATATGTACTACATCAATATATACTTCTCACAGAAGATAGTGACATTCAAGAGCAGCCAATAAACCTTAAGATAACTGAAGGAAGAACACTTTGATGTTTCCTATTTTTCTTCCTCAAATATGGTATAAAATCTGAGTCAATGCCGTATTGACACAGCTTTTCTATTTGCTATCATTTATAAATTCTGGGATTACCTGAGTGATTGTTTTCTCAGAAAACCATAATGTGATCTCCAACCTAATACTCCAACTATCATGCACTAATTAAAACTGCAATTATATTTTTTCTCAAACAAAACAACTTAATAAACATTATTGCAAACTGTTTACCCTTCCCCAAAACAATTTATGTTCACTAATACAATTTTCCATTAAAACTGCTGCCAGGTACATTAAAAACTCTGGAAATAGTAAGTAAGTGGGAAATTAATTCAACAGTTTAATCTAGACCTAATAACACTTGCAAGTGCAGAAAAAGATTGCTACAGTGGGGAGTTAATTAACAGCTTATTCCCCATTTGATAAAAGTAATCCACTTTAATTCCAGTGTAATTTACCTCAATGTAATATAAAACCACAAGCTGCCTCTGGTGCTGGTAATTATTAGCTTTGTCCTGTGGCCACATTGACAGTAAAAGTCAGCAGTATCTTAATAATAAGAGACTGTCTGCTAAACACCCACAATTAAAGATGTAATATGAAATCTTCTAACAGCAGCAACCATGTGTATTGCTATACAAGCAGGGTTGCAGTGGATTTAAACTGCATTTAATTGTTCCACCTACTTCTAGAAAGCAGGTGTGGCATGTGAAAAGTAAGCATTTTATTGGCTTCATGTAAGGAAGCACAGGGAATATTAGTGATGAGTTCATCCCATTGTTTTCCTTCCCTACTACCACTGTCTCAGTAAAGCTATCATCTCTTTTCACTTAGACTGCTGCACAAATCTATGCAGTTTCTCCACCCGCTTCTCACTCCAACCCATCCTCTATGTAGTCAGACACACAAATTTCATCATGTAACCTTCATGGATATAAACCTTCATTGACATTCATTTATTGTTCACAAGATGAAATTGAAATTCTCTGCATGATGTAAAAGTGGTTCCATATTCTGCCCTCAATCTACCATTCAAACCTTATTTATCAACTTGAAAAATAAAGAAGATAAATTCATCTGCCTGCAGTACCCTTTCCTTGCTTATCTCCTATCTCCTCTGTGAAGTTTTCTTAGACACTCCCCATGAAAATTTAGTCATTACTTTTTCTATTCTTTTACAATACTTTATATTCACCTATTATTTCACTTTTCAAATTGCTGTTTATTTCTATTAACATGTCTGTATCCACCTACTAGACTAGTGGCTCTCAAAGTGTGGTCCCCGGACCATCAGCATTAGCATTACTTGGGTACAAATTTCGAAGCAAATTCTCAGGCTTCACCCCAGACCTACTGAATCAAAAACATTGGCAGCGGGGCCCAGCAGTCTGTTTCAACAAGCCCTCTGGGTGATTCTAATGGATAGTAAACTTTGAGAACCAGTCTTGACTGTGAGTATGTTGGGGATATATACAGTGGCTTATTCTCTTTTTATTTTCTTCATCTGGCCGTTTATAGCACATAGAAGGTACTCAGAAATATTTTTTGAATAAATGAGTTATGATGGAATAAGTGGTAGCAAAAATAGAAAATCTAGAGAAGGTATGGAAACACAAGTGACTTCCAAGTTGCTCCTTTATCTAACTAAAATGAAAAGTCTGTGTTTCTCTGAGAGAGTAGATTATTTAAATAGGAAAAGTCAAGAATCTAAATTATTATCAATATTTCAAGTCCTTCTGTACAAAAAAGAAAAATCACACAGAAATATGTTTGTATGATTGCTGATATTCTCAATAGGTTAATCTAGTTTCTTTTCTCTTTGGAAGTTATGGTTTGTGTAAAAAACATTTAGACTATGTTAGGCAGCCAATATGGTCTAATTCTTTTAAATGTTATAATTATTTCTCTTTTTAAAAAACTCACAACTTTTAGCTAACACTGTGTGTTAAATGCAATAGCATATGTTGTATGTACATATTATTTTGGCTGTGGACACTAAACTAAACAATTTGCTTGCTATTAACTGAATTCTTTAATATAGATAAGTAATATGTAGATAAATTAGATCATTAAAAATAATAGACTTTCTCAAACTACAATGAAGTCATTTAAAAGTACATTTGTGTTTCTTATAGTACATGAATTCCAATTACAGAAGTAAAGTAATGTATGTTATTATCCCACAACATTAGATGTTAGCAAGGATTAAGTGTTTTTTATTCCCCATTATTGCCTGTAACATTTGTTTATAACAGGAGTCCATTTGAGCAGCCTCCTTCTGGGCTTTTAATGCATTCTTTAGAACGAGAGTGACTTTTGAGGGGAGTTCTATCAGATAGAAAAGCCAAACAAATTCAAGTGATGTTGTAATGCAACCTTTCTATTATTCTATCTAGAAAATGTATATGATTTTCAGGAACAGAAAATAAGCCTTAGTCGATTAAAAACTGTTAGCTATTGTGTAGGAGCATCATACATTATACTGCTTATGTAGATATATGTAAAAACAGATATTTGTGAGACATGAATTTATGTGTATGCCCATACTACGTGGTTACCTTTATTGTGACCTTTAATGACGGCTATTTTAAAAGCAAACTGTTCTGTACATGCAAGTGTACTTCATCATCATCATCATCATCATTATAATGACCTAATAACATCTTTGTGTTTCAAAATAATTTCACATTCAATTTCTTATTTCTTTTATCCTCGCAAGTATCCTATAAAATACTCAAAGCAGATATTATCCTTATTTTGCAGATGAAGAAACCAAAATCAGATAAATTTAAATGAAAGACAAAGCTGGAATTAGAGCCCAGGTTGCCTGAATTCTACTTAAGTGCTCCTTCCACTTTCTTACACTTCTCTTACATATGTATGAACTCCGTTGACCAAACATGTACAGAGTGACTACTATATGTCAAGAAATGTGCTTGGATATATTTCAGTGTGGTGTATTTCAGTGTATGTCTTGAAGGACGGGTAGTGTTTGGATATTTGGTAAGTAAAGAGGAAACAAGCTTAGGGTGGAATGAGGGTATAATCAAAACAGATGTGGTTTAAGATGAGGCATGTTGAAGAATGGGTGATGAATAAATGATTCACTTTAGAGAAGAGTGGAAGATGAAGTTGGAAAGATAGGTTGTGATTTATTGTCATGATTATCTTTTTTCCAAACTGGAGTTCTAAATTTATTCCATAGTCAATAGGAAGCCAATGAAACTCTTTCGAACAGAGGATACTGGAACAGGAATTTTAACTGGATTTATCTGGCAGATCTAGGTGGTTATGTTGGAGCAGAGTGGTAGGTATGAAGAGTGTCTGGAGCTTGGGCTCTAATTAGCAGCTGCAATAATCCCATCTTGAGGAGATAAGGCCTGAGCTAGAATATCAGCAGTGGCCATAGAAAAGAGTAACATGTGCGTTCCTCCTTTGTACATGTATGGAATGTGCTTACTTTCTCCCTCGTTTATAAGATTTTTGCTAGTTACTATATACAGTTTTAAAAATTTCTACATATCTCCCACAGAGCTTGGCAAGTACAGTGCCGTGCTTATTGTAGGTGTCCGGTAAATATTGTTAACTGGCCAGCTGTTTGAAATGTTCACAGTATTTGTAGTAGACGAGGCTGTAATGGCATTTATTGTTAAACTGTAGGGTTGGTCATTGTGGCTGAGTTTTTTAAAAGTCCACACTTCTTGGTATTTTCACAAATGAGCTGAAAACTTACATCCAAACAAAATCTGCATAGTGATGTGCATAGCAGCTTTTTTTTCATAGTTTCCAAAACATGAAAGCAACCAAGATATTCTGCAGTAGGTGAATGGGTAAATAAATTGTGGTACATCAAGACAATTGAATATTATTCGCTGCTAAAAGAAATGCAATATCAAGCAATGAAAAGACATGGGAGTAGCTTAAATGCATATTGCTAAGTGAAAGAAGCCAATCTAAAAAGGCCCCATACTGTATTATTACAATGGTCTGACATTCTGTAAAAGGCAGAACTATGGAGACAGTGAAAAAGAGTTTGGAGGGAATGAGGGATTAATAGGAGGATCACAGAGGATTTTTAATGTGTCAAACTATTCTGTATAACACTCTAATTGTGGATAAATGTCATTATACACTGCGAAATCACATAGAATATACAGCACTGACAGTGAACCCTAATGTAAACTCAGGGTTTTGGGTGATTAAGATGTGTCAATATAGGTTCATCAATTGTAACAAATGCACCACTCTGGTGTGAGTGACTGGGAGCCTGCAGGGGTGTTATGATGTATGGAGTCAGGTGGTGTATGGATCTATACTTTTTTTCTCAATTTTGCTATGAACAGAAACTGCTCTAAAATAAAGTCTATTGGAAATCAAAACAAAAGAAGTCAATTTGCTATTAAAACTTTCAGTAATTGGTGTTAATTAACATATGAGTCAAGAGAGAGGAAGACTAAAGTGGAAGGTTAACAGTGAGTGTTTGAGTTATCTGTTTTTAGAAAAGTAATATCAAACCTTCCTAACTTTTCTATAGATTATATGGATGAAAATATAAGGTGTGAAGTGTCAAGTTGTGAAGGAAATTCTTTTTTCATTCATGTTTGCGGCCTTTGTGTTAGATTCCTGATGCACGAATGGGGCTGTGTAAAGCTATATGCTAGACACTACTCCTTAATAAACATGACCATTCCTTTTTGTTATTTTGTTATTTAAAAAGATTGACATGTGGGCAGTAAAATAATAAAGTAAATATCAAAAACCCACAGTTATGGAGACATTGATTTGGGAAGAAATTCGTTACGTCTGTCTTGATCACTTCCGATTTCACCTTCTGGGTATTTTCTTCTTCTGTGGTTCTATTTATCTCCTCTCTTCTGTACAGAAGCTCCTCTGTATCTGAGCATATCTAAAACTCACAAGGTTTTACATAAACACATTTGTTTTTAAGTTGAATGTGACAGACAAGATTTAGCCCACAGTCTTTACATGCATTTTTACTAAATGGTACTGTGAGTTGGTCCTTCAGGGCTTTGATATCAGTCAAACTCTTGTCTTCCTTACTAATACTCATTTCACCAAGCACCTTTTCCCAAAGTAAGTTAGATTTGGTTTGTGATAATAACGTGTTAAGTCAGGTAATGCTCATCGTTGATGAGCTTCACAATTGCCCTAGGGAACTTCTTAGCAGCCCACTTTAATGCTGTACGGATCTAATAGCTTTTGAAATTATGAAGCCATCCATGACTTGTGACAAAGGTGTAATTAGAAGCACTTTCTCCATGCTTAACCTTTAAGTTCTCAACCATTTGCATTATCAAAAACAAACTAACCAAACCAAATTGAAATGAAAATATATCGTTTCTAAAAAAGGAGAGGATGATCAAATACCAATACAGATCATTCACCTGAGCTCCAGATTATACGTTCACCCATCTACTGGGTCCCTACGTGTCCAAAATGCGACTTAAACTCGGCATTTTGAAAGTCAAGCTCATCTTCACCCTCAACAATTTATCCTTCTTCTAAAACTATAAAAACCCTAGAAGAAAATCTAGGCAACACCCTTCTGGACATAGGCATGGGCAAAGATGTTATGATGAAATCTCCAAAAGCAGTTCCAACAAAAGCCAACATTGATAAATGGGATCTAATTAAACTAAAGAGCTTCTGCATAGCAAAAGAAACTATCATCAGAGCAAATAGACAATCTACAGAATGGGAGAACATTTTTCTCAATATATCCATCTGACAAAGGTCTAATATCCAGAACCTACAAGGAACTTAAACATATTTACAAAAAGAAACCCAAACCCATTAAAAAGTGGGCAAAGGAAATGTACAGACATTTCTCAAAAGAAGACATTTATGTGACCAACAAACATATGAAAAAAAGATGAACATCATTGATCGTTAGAGAAATGCAAATTAAAACCACAATGAGATACCAGCTCATGCCAGTCAGAATGGCAATTATAAAAAGTCAAGAAACAACAGATGCTGGCAAGGTGTGGAGAAATAGGGACACTTTTACACTGTTGGTGGGAATATAAATTTATTCAACTATTGTGGAAGACTGTGTGGTGGTTCCTCAAAGATTTAGAACTGGAAATACCATTTGACCCAGCAATCTCGTTACTGGGTATATACCCAAAGGAATATAAATCATTCTATTACAAAGATACATGCACGTGTATGTTCATTGCAGCACTATTCACAACAGCAAAGACATGGAATCAACCCAAATACCCATTAATGATAGACTAGATAAAGAAAATGTGGTACATATACATCATGGAATACTATGCAGCCATAAAGGGGAATGAGATTATGTCCTTTGCAGGGAGATGGATGAAGCTGGAAGGCCATTATCCTCTGCAAACTAATGCAGGAACGGAAAACGAAATACCACCTGTTCTCACTTATAAATGGGAGCTGAACAATGAGAACACATGGACACAGGGAGAGGAACAACACACACTGGGGCCTGTTGGGGGAGGGTGAAGCGGGAGAGCATTAGGAAAAAAATGCATGCTGGGCTTAATTCCTAGTTGATGGGTTGACAGGTTCAGCAAACCACCATGGCACACGTTTACCTATGTAACAGACCTCACATCCTGCACATGTACCCAGAAACTTAAAAAAAAAAGTCTGTTTAAAATGCTCAAAAATCTTTTACTCATTTTAAAAATTGGGTTGTTGGTTTTATATTATTGTTTTGTAAGATTTCTTTATATAGTTTGGATGGAAGCTCTTTGTCAAATATATATTTTACAAAGATTTTATCCCAGTTAGTCATTTGTCTTTTCCTTTTCCTGTGTTTTTCAAAGAGCTGTAGTTTCCAATTCTAATGAATTACATTATATCAAATTTTTATTTTATAGTTTGTGATTTTGTTTTGTATAATACATTTTTGCCTAACACAATGACACAGAGATTTTCTACTGTGTTTTCTTATAGAAGTTTTATCATTTTTGCTTTTATATTTTAATATATTATCCACTTTGAGTTGATTATTTTTTGTCTTATGAGGTAAACTTTGAGGTTTTATTTTCTACATGAATATTCAATTTTCCCAGAATCATTTGTTAAAAATCTTTTCCACAGGGAATTACCTTGGCAACTTTGTTGGAAATTCAATGACCATATAAGTGTGAGTCTATTTCTGGACCCTCTATTAGGTCCCATGGGTTTTTATTCTTTTTATTATTATTATTATACTTTTAAGTTTTAGGGTACATGTGCACAACGTGCAGGTTTGTTACATATGTATACATGTGCCATGTTGGTGTGCTGCACCCATTAACTTGTCATTTAGCATTAGGTATATCTCCTAATGCTATCCCTCCCCGCTCCCCCCACCCCACAACAGTCCCCGGTGTGTGATGTTCCCCTTCCTGTGTGCATGTGAAATGGATGAAACTGGAAACCATCATTCTCAGCAAACTAACACAAGGACAAAAAACCAAACACCGCATGTTCTCACTCATAGGTGGGAATTGAGCAATGAGAACACATGGACACAGGAAAGGTTTTTATTCTTAATCTCACATCAGGACCCCACTGTGATGATTATTGTAGCTTGTAAGTCTTGAAATCGGGTAACGCAAGATTTTTTTTTTAAATTGGCAATCCTAGGTCTTTTGCCTTTCTCTATAAATTTAAATTAAAGTAATTAATTTCTTCTAACAAAGCTTACTAAGAGGATGTGATTGGAATCATATCAAATAAATAGATCAATTTGGGGAACACTACCATGTTAACAACATTGAATCTTCCAGTGCATGGACATATATAGCTCTCCCTTTAAGTATTATTTTATTTCCTTCATAAAGGAATGCTTTATGATTTTTAGGGTACAAAACTTGCACATATTTCACTAAATTCATTCCTGTATCTTGTTGATGCCTTTGTAAATATAGATTTTTTAAAAAAATTCAAAGTTCAATGAGAACACTTGGACACAGAAAGCGGAACATCACACACCACGGCCTGTTGCGGGGTGCGGGGAAGGGGGAGGGATAGCATTAGGAGATATACCTAATGTAAATTATGAGTTAATGGGTGCAGCACACCAACACGGCACATGTATACATATGTAACAAACCTGCACGTTGTGCACATGTACCCTAGAACTTAAAGTATAATAAAAAAAAGATAGACAATTCTTACCATACTATGCCAAACTCCATCTATTCTGTTACCATTAAAGGAAATATTGAAATGCAAAAAAAAATTCAGTGTTCAAATGTTTATTGCTAGTTTGTTGAAGTGTAATTTTTTGTTTATTGATGTTGTATACTATGAGCTCACTAGATTCAGCTATTCATTTTAGTAGCTTTCTGTAGAATCCTTAATCTTTTCTACATGCATGTTCATATTATTTAGGAATAACAGCAGTTTCACTTTTTCTTTTTCATTCTGTATATCTTTTACTTATTGCCTTATTTAGCTGGATAGGACCTCCAGTAAAATACTAAATAGAAATAGCGAGAATACACATTCTTGCATTGTTCCTGGAAAGCATTTAGTATTTAGATATTGAGTATGATGTTGGCTATAGGGATTTTGTAGATGCCCATTTTCAGATTCATCATATGTATCAGGTCTTAGTTCTCCTAAACCTGCCATACTGCTTCAAACCTCTGTTACTTTACATAACCTCATTTCTCCGTTTGATTCAGATGTTGTGCCTAAGCTTCACCTAGCTAATTTTAAACTCTTATTACTAGTCTCAGGAAGCTCGTTTTTTTCAGCAAAAGCTTTAGTGATTTCACATGATGCTCCCTCCTCCCACCCACCACTCTGTGCCCCATTACCAACTGTGTCATGTGTTCTTCCTTTGTCATTGAAAAGTACCAGGCAAGTGTAGCCTTCCTTATGTTTGCTAAATTTGATTTCTGTTTGCTCTTATTTAACTTAGGTTACTGAGTTCTAGGGCTTGGAGCATTTATCTCTGCATTTTCAGTCAGTGCCCAGTACATAGAAAATGCTCAACACTCACTAGAATGAAAGAAGCAAAGGAAAGATCAAAGGAAGAGAGGAGGAAAGAGAGGGAGGGAGGAAAGAGGAAAGGGGGAAAGGGATAGAGGGAGAAAAGAAGGCAAGAAATAAGGGAAGAGCAGAAGGAAAAGATAAGGGAGGGGAGAGGCAAAGAACTTTTCAGTAAATATCACCACTGGTAGTTTTAATTGGAGACAAGAGAACTGAAGAGTGTATGCTCCTAGAAGAGACCTGGATCTGACTCACTTCTGCCATTCATATTAGAAACTGGAAACATCAATCCTTAAAAACATGTCATCATTAATCCTCTGGGGCTCTCCCATGCATTAGGAAGATTTACAAAAATAAATGATGTGAAGAAATTCAAAGAGATTGCTTGTTGGATAGCAGTGATATATTCCCTAGAAGCCATAGAGATAGTTCATTGCTTGGCCTAGACCCATGCTACTGACACTCAGTCCAGGCTTGTATTGGCATCTCCTAAAATGATAGACCCTATAAATTGACCAGCCTCCACCTGTGTGATTATAAATACCTGGACTGAAGTTTTTTCCTCCATAGGTTTTATTGTTCTCAAGAATAGCCGTGCTGCCAGAGGAAAAATGTAATGTACTTACAAATATAAAGCAAATACTGTGTGCCATTCTATGTGCCTAATTCCACAGTACTATTCAAACTACTTCTGTCCAACTGTATGTCCTCACTCAACTGGTTTTAATACCATGTTACCCCTACTCAGGCTGCAAATACTTTTATGTCTTCTCAATACAGCCATACAATATGTGCATGCTTTAAATACCATGCTCCCCTTAAACGCGGTTTTAGTCATGACTCTTCTCCTCCTCGTTAAAGAAAAAAATTCAGCATATTCTAACCCAAGTGAAAAGCACAGTATTATTGAAAAATCTTATTTTATATTTGCTTATGTGCTGAATATATCTAAATGACCGAAGTGTTTAGGAAGTATGACCTGGTACCTATTCTGATGTCACTTATTCAGTCAGGGCATAATCTTTTATTCTGCCATGATGGAATTGAAGTTACCCCAAAGAGTAGAGTAAAACTACTCCTCAAATTGGGTGGAATTTGTTCTCAAAATACACACAAAATTCTGATTACTCCAAGAGGCTCCTGGTAATCTAAACCTGGGGAAACAGCTTTTAGGCAGCTCTGTTCAAAGCAGGTCTTCTTTAGTAGCTATATAAACAATCTCTCTCGGTTGACCTAATTTTTACCAGCCAATTAAAACTATGCATCACTAATGCTTACTGTGGTGACATTTAATTGGTGAAGCCTGCCTGACCCTCCATTATTATTACTCTGACCCATTGATCTTAAAAATTACAAACCTAAAAGTTCACCTATAAATATCCTTCATATTAAGAAATGCATGTGCCTAGGCTTAGAGATATACATATTGCCATTTTTGAGATTTTCAGTATGTGGCTTCTCTTCTTTTTCACACTCAATATGTATAACCATCTATCTGTGCCTGGACAAGTATGGAGAGCTATGCACATACATTCTGGACATTTAAAACTTTAAGTATTTTAAATATTAAAATAAAGGAATGTATTGTTACATGTGAAATTTTTGCATTGTTTATTAAATAGGAGTTTCAAAGCAAGTTGGGAAATCTATTTTAATATGCCCTTATGCTGCAGCAATGTTTCAGTGGAGAAGGACAGAATATTTTAGGTTCAATTCCCTAAACCTGAACTCTTTCTTATCAGGAATACATCAAGTATTGATAAACTGAGATGTGTACGTTAGTTATTCTCTCTTTATATAAAATGTATTTGTTAGTAGCTCATGGGCATATATGAAATCTCAAGTTAAAAAATATCTCTCATGGTAAAACAAAAATAGCTTACAAATATTTCTTAAATACTAATTTATGATAAATATTTTACAGTTATTCCTATATCAATATGAGAGATGGGTGAAAAATATCTTAATGGAAGGAAGAAATTTCTTCTTTAAGTGAATGTGGATCATTGGTTTGCTGATATGTCAGGTTGGGCACTTGCTCACAAAGAACAGTGTTTCCATTTTAAACATCATTTCAGTGAGGTAAAAAAATAATCTGTGAAGACTGATGCCAACTTTAAACTCTTTCTATAGTAGATTTGGCACTTGAGAGCAATCTTTTCTTTACAAATTTTAATGACCAAAAAATCGATCTGGCTTTCCCGTGAGTCACAGTGAATTAAAAACAAATTGTTCATTATGTTCAGCTGCAATGCAATGGTGGGGGGGGAAGCTTAAAATCCCAAAAAGTGACCATGATTTCAATAAAAGTTGGCAAGTGATTATTCAGTTTTAGTTGCATTGTATATGCCATTTAAAAGAAGGGGCCTAAGAAGGTGATTTAACATTGAAGTATATTCTACCTAATTTGCAAATGAATTTTATGTGGTGCTCCTAACCTTTTTAAAAATTCTCTGGAACTCCATTATAACATAATTGTTCATAGGTCAGAATTCTATAAAACTTGAATTAATTTTATGCCTAAAAGAGGGTATAGTTATTAATGTAATAGAAGAAAAAGCACATTAAAACACATTGAAAATACAAGGCTACTTGTATACACAAGTGCACAATAAGTACTGAAGATCAATCATACTTTGATGTTACAGTGTGACATGGTCAGTTCAGCTAGGTTTCACACCATACAAGTAAAGTACATGTTGTAGGATTCTGGGAGAACTTAGTCCCATGGTCATAGATGGTAGCCTCCCCTCAACCAACACTTGTATTAATATGCGATACTGGTCACAGAAAAATAGACTGTATAAACTGTAGATGGAACAATTAATATCTTTACTAGTTATGAAAACTACCTACTGGTTACATATATGCATGTGCAGATGCACAGTGAACCTGCAAGATGTTACATTTTGAAGTCTAATTTTCAAAAGAAACACAATGTAATTGTGATTATTCCTTTCTTCATCCATTCATTCATTTACTCAACAAATACTTAAAGCCTTTTTTGGTCCAAGCACTATGATAAACATGGAGCATGAATAGATAAAGAAGATAGCATTTGTCCTTAAGAGCTTAAAATCTGTAGTAGTCTAAAATCATTCACAAATAGTCAATGCTGAATACAAATACTGTAAGAGAGGCAAAAAAAAAGTTACATTACATTTTTGTGGGGCAATCAGGATATGCATTACAAAGGAGATATGTGAATGCTAGGTACAAGAAAATAGTACCTGATTTTGCCTAATATGCATTAACATATTTTACTCTAACTTTATAAGGGCATCCTTTTTAAAAACATACATTTTTATTGGTGTTTGTTAAAATGTGTAGTCTTTCCTTGAATTCAACATAGATTTCAACATGAAATATGCACAACATAAAATATGTGAAATGTTCTTGGGGTTAGAAAAGTTTTACTGCAAACGATTATTTCCAGTCTAGCCATTCTGTTTCATCATCTGCATAAGGGGTTGATTTCAAAGCAACATTTAAAAATTTTCTTTTCAAAATTTCAGACCTAAACCAAATACTAGATACCATTTGCTTCACTCATTATTATACACCATAGTTTGGATGCTTGTTCTCCAAATATCATGTGAAAACTTGATCCTAATTCTGAAGGCAGGGCCTACTAGGAGGTGTTTGGGTCATAGGGTCTGATTCCTCGTGAAGAGATCAATGCCTCCCTTGGGGGTGAGCTCTCTTTCTGTTAGTTCCCCTGAGAACTGACTGTTGAAAAGAACCTGACACCTTCCTCATCTCCCTCTCTCACTTCCTCCCTTCCCATATAATCTCTGCACACACCAGCTGCCTTTTGCCTTCTGCTCTGAGTGGAAGCTACCTGAGGCCCTCACCAAAAGCAGATGCTGGCAACATGCTTCTTGTATAGCCTGTAGAACTGTGAGCCAAAAAACTACTTTTCTTTATTAATTACCCAATCTCAGGTATTCATTTATTGCAACACAAAATGAACTAAGCCATCGTAATAACTATATTCAAGAAATATTTACTTTATACTATATGTCAGGTACTACAATGGGTAAAGCATCTAATTTAGATACCAAACCAACGGCAGTTACTATTAATTTCATTTTCTAAAGATTTTGGGGATGTGCATTTCTTTGTTTCTGAGTGCTTGTGTGTGTGTTTTGTTTTGGAGCAAAACAGGAGCAGTTAGTTAAGATGGGAGAAAATAAGAAGTAGATGTCTTTCAGGTTGTTTTTAATAGGCTATTATAATTAATACTATAGCCTTCTTTATAGCAAAATTCTCTATTATTTAGAATCTTAATCTACAGTGCTCCTCCATTAAATTTTAACATTTAAAATTTTATTTTAATAATATGGAAGAATAGGCTTTTTATAGGATTTTATGAATATTTTAAATAAAAGATATAAAAATATTTTTAGATTTACAGAAATGTTGCAAAGATAGTACAGAATTTTCCTCTATACTTTTGTGATATTTTAAAATATTTGTTTGGTCTTTAATGATTTCCTGGCATACAACTACTAAAATCCTCAGAATCTCCAAAGTGATGCCTTTTTGTATTCTAATGAGTTGACTTATGGCTGGCAGCCCCTGGGGGTCTAGTCACCAGAAAGACCAAGCCATGATTGGAGGGCAGAACTTCCGGAGAGTGTACAAAGGCTGAAGATTAAGTTGATCACCATTGACCAATGGTTTAATCAATCATGCCCACCTAATAACGTCTTCCTAAGAACCCAAGAGGGCTGGCTATGTAGAGCTTTCGGATTGTTGAATATGTGGAGGGTCCTGGAAGATAACATGTCCAGGGAAGGCCTGGAAGCTTCACACCCCTTACCATATACCTTGACCTATTCAAATATTTGATCTGATTTTAGTATCCTTTGTAATATCCTTTATAATAAACTGGGAAATGTAAGAATTTACATGAGTTCTATGAGTGGCACTAAGAAATTAATCAAACCACAAATGGGGAGTATGTGAACCCAAACTTGAAACCTATGGGCCAGAACTTTCAGAGACCCAGGCTTGATTGGTGTCTGGTGGAGAGGTCAGTCTTGCAGGACTGAGCCCTCAATCTGTGGGATCTAATGCCATCTCCAGGTAACAGCAGCATTAAATTGGAGGAAATTCAGCTGGTGTCACTGCAGAATTGATTGCTTTCTTCTTGTTGGAGAGAAATCCCCACACATTTGATCTCATAACTCTCTGTGTTCATTGTTGTGTGGTGTGAGAGCAGAAGAAAAATAGGTTTTTTTTTTTTAACCTCCGACATTCGATTTTTCCTGTTGTTAGCATCTCAACATTACTATGGTATATTTGTTACTTTTGAACTAATATTGATACATTATTTGTCACTAAAATCCATTATTTACTCAGATTTCCTTGGTTATTAATTCATATTTATTTGGTTTTGCCATTTCAAGAATGCTATATAATTGGAATCATAGAATATCTAGCTTTTTCAGACTGGCTTCCTTATTTAGCTATATGCACTTAAGATTCATCCATATTGTTGTGTGGACTGGTAGGTCGTTCCTTTTGTATTTCCCAACACTGTATGGACGTACTATAGTTAAGCCTTTCACCTATTGAAGGACATCTTGGCAGTCACCATATTTTTGGTGATTATGAATGAAGTTGCTGTAAAAATTATAGTGGGGGTTTTCTTGTGTAGATTAGTTTTCAGTTCACTTGAGTGAGTATGTATCAAGGAATGTTATTACTGGGTTGTATAGTATATAATTGCTACATTCTCTTTCAAAGTGGATGTAGCATTTTGTATTCCCACCAGTAATGTTTGTTCTAGTTGATCTTCATCTTTGACAAGTTTTTTAAATCAATATATATATTTCTAAATTTTAGCCATTCTAACAGATATCGTGGTATCGTGACATGAATTTACTTTGCATTTCCCTAATTGCTAATGATGCTGATTATTTTCTATGTGCTTATTTTTATCTGCATATATTATTTGGTGCAGTATGAGTATGTGTTCAAGTTTATTGTTCACTTTTTAGTTTTTTTTTTTTTGAGACGGAGTTTCGCTCTTGTTGCCCAGGCTGGAGTGCAATGGCACAATCTCGGCTCACTGCAACCGCCGCCTCCCAGGTTCAAGCAATTCTCCTGTCTCAGCCTCCCTGGTAGCTGGGATTACAGGCACCTGCCATTATGCCTGGCTAATTTTTGTATTTTTAGTAGAGTTGAGGTTTCACTGTGTTGGCCAGGCTGGTCTCGAACTCCTGACCTCAAGTGATCTACCTACTTCGTCCTTCCAAAGTGCTAGGATTATAGATGTGAGGCACTGCACCCAGCTACCATTTTTTAGTTTTTTTAAACTGGAGTTTTGAAAGCTCTTTATACATTCTGTATATAATATATGTCTCTCAGGTGAGTGGACAAAAAAAAAATGCACTGTGGTACATCCATACAATGAAATAGTATTTAGAGATAAATACAAATGAACTACCTACCAATCAGTGCAATGATTTGAATTTGTGATTTGAAAATATTTCCACCTATTCTGTAGCTTGTGTTTTTACTCTCTTAAAAGTGCCTTCCACAGAACAAATGTTATTAATTTTTATGAAATCCAATTTATTATTCTTTTCAGTATGGATCTTGTTATTGTTTTACATTTAGATATATTTTATATTTTGCATAAAGTGTAAGGTTTAGGTAGATGTTCCTGTTGGCATATAGCTTGCAATTTTTACATATCATTTGTTGAAGATGATTGTTTTCCATTCAAAAATTAGTTAGCACTTTGCTTACACTGCTATACCACCACAGCCTACATGCGTGCAGCCTGCCGTGCTGCCATGGCTGCTGGCACATGCAAGTGAGCACAGATTATACTGCAGTGACTTTGATGAAGTGCTTTGGCATGCACCACCCAGAGGAGTTCGGTGGCCAGCACACCAGGAACACCTCAGCCCCTCCAGTGCAGCAGGTTTCTAACCTTGAGGGGCCAGTGAACAAAGCTGGGAGCCCAGTACCAGCTCATGAGAGTTTGAGCATGCAGACCAGGAGCTCTTACTTGAGTCTTAGCCCGCTAAAATCTTCCAGAAATGAAGCCAGTTGACTAAACCCCACCTTATACTAAAATCAAACCCCCAAGGGCATCAAAGAAGATAACATTTTTAAAATCCCATTCAAAGGATAGCAACTTCAAACACTGAAGGAACATTAGCACACAGAAATGAGAGAGAACCAGTGCAAGAAATCTGGCAACTTGAAAAGCCACAACATCTTCTCACCTCTAAATGACTGTACTAGTTCCTGAACTAGTATTGAACTTAACTATGCTGAAATGGTGTAAATGACAGAAATAGAATTCAGAATATGGACACAAATGAAGATTATTGAGATTCAGGATAAAATTGAAACCCAATTCAATGATTCTAAATAATAACAAAAAATAACAGAGGAGATGAAAGATGACATGGCCGTTTTAAGAAATAACCAAACTAATCTGATAGAGCTGAAAAACTCACATCAAGAATTTCATAATACAATCACAAGTAATAACAGCAGAATCAACCAAGCTGAGGAAAGAAACTAAGAGCATGAAGACTGGTTCTCCAAATAAGTCGGTCAGATAAAACTAAAGAAGAAAGAATAAAGAAAAATGAACAAAGCTTTTGAGAAATAAGGGATTATGTGAAGAGTACAAATCTAGCACTCATTAGTGCCCCTGAAATAGGGAGAGAAAATAAGCAACGTGGAAAACATATTTGAATATATCATCCATAAAAATTTCCCCACTATTGCTACAAATCCCAACATTCAAATTCAGAAAATGTAGAGAACCCTTGTTGAATACTGTACAAGATGACAATCCCCAGGACACATAGTTATGAAATTCTCCAAGGTCAACATGAAATTTTAAAAAATTAAATGCAGCTAGAGGGAAGGGGCAGGTCACCTACAAAGGGAACCCCATCAGGCTAACAGTAGACCTTTCATCAGAAACCCTATAAGCAGAAGCGAATGGGGGCTTATATTCAACATTCTTAAGGAAAATAAATTCCAACAAAGGATTTCATTTCTGGCCAAACTAAGAAAGGAGAAATAAGATCCTTCTAATACAAGCAAATGCTAAGGGCAATTTTACCACCAGATCTGCCTTCTAAGAGATCCTGAAGGGATGCTAAATATGGAAAGGAAAGACCACTACCAACCACCTCAAAAACACACCTGAGTACATAGATCATTGACACTATACAGCAATCACACAAACAAGTCTGCATAATAACCAGCTAACATCACAATGACAGTGAATCCACACATACCAATATTAAACTTGAATGTATGTGGGCTAAATGCTCCAGCTAAAAGGCACAGAGTGGCAAAGTGGGAGAAATAAGCAAGACTCAATGGTGTGCAGTGTTTGAGAGATGCATCTCACATGCAATGACACCCATAGGCTCAAAGTAAATGGAGCTTGGAGAAAACTCTACCAAGCAAACAGAAAACAAAACAAAACAAAAAAACAGGGGTTGCTATTGTAATTTTACAAAAAGCAGATTTCAGTACAACAAAAAGAAAAAAAAATAAAAAATTGGCATTACATAATGGTAATTAGTTCAATTCAACAAGAAGAAGTAACTATCCTAAATATAGATACACCCAACACAAGAGCACTCAGATTCATAATGCAAGTTCTTAGAGACCTATGAAGAGACTTATATAACCACACAATAATTTTGAGCGGGAGACTTTAACACCCCACTGAAAGTGTTAGACAGATTATTGAGGCAGAAAACTAACAGAGATATTTAGGACCTGAACTCAACACTTGACCAATAAGCCTACCCTAAAACAACAGAATATACATTCTTTTCATTTACATATGGCACAGACTCTAAAATTGACCATAAAATCTGGCATAAAACAATTCTCATCCAGTTCAAAACAGAAATTATGCCATCCACACTCAAAGACAACAGTATAATAAAATGGAAATCAATACTAAGGAAATCTCTCAAAAACATATTACATTACATTGAAATTAAACAACCTTCTCCTGAGTAACTTTTGGGTTATCAATGAAATTAAGACAGAAATTATTTGAAACAAATGAGAAAAAAATAAAACAAACTAGAATCTCTGGGAAATAGCTACAGGAGTGTTATAGAGGAAAATTTATAGCACTAAATGCCCACATCAAAAAGTTAAAAAGATCTGAAGTTAACAACCTAACATCACACCTAAAGGGACTAGAGAAACACAAGCAAACCAGCAATATAGGTAGCAGAAGACAGGAAATAACCAAAATCAGAGCTGAAATGAACAAAATTAAAATGCAAAAATAAAAAATAAAAAAGAGCAATGAATTCAGGAGTTTATTTTTTTGAAAGAATAAATAAGATTAATAGACTGGTAGATAGATGAATAAAGAAAAAATCCAAATAAACACAATCAGAAATGATAAAGTCATATTTCCATTGACCTTACAGAAATGCATGCACACACACAAAAACCCTCAGATACTACTATGAGCATCTCTATGCACACAACTAGAAAACCTAGAATTAAATGAATATATTCCTGGAAACGCACAACATCCCAAGATTGGACCAGGAAGAAATTGAATCTCCTAACTGACCAATAACGAGATCTGAAATTGAGTCAGTAATAAAAAGCCTACCAACCGGAAGAAGCCCAGGACCAGATGGATTCACTGCTAAAGTCTACCAGATGTGTAAAGAAGAGCGGGTACCATTCCTACTAAAACTATTTAAAAAAAAAATGAGGAGGAGAAACTCCTGCCTAACTCATTCTATGATGGAAGCATCACGCTGATGCCAAAACCTGGCAGAAACAACAACAAAAAGGAAAATTTTAGGCCAAATTTTTTATGAAAATAGGTGCAAAATTTCTCAACAAAATACTAACAAACCGAATTCAGTAGCACATCGAAAAGCTAATCCACCATGATCAAGCAGAGTTTATCCCTGTGATGCAAGGTTGATTCAACATAAGCAAATTAATAAATGTGATTTATCACATAAGCAGAACTAAAAACAAAAAGTAAATCATCATCTCAATAGACGCAGAAAAGGCTTTCACTAAAATTCAACATTCCTTCATGTTAAAAAACCCTTAACAAACTAGACATTGATGGAACATATCTCAAAATAATAGCCATCTATGACAAACCCACACCCCAAATTATACTGAACATGAAAAAACTGGAAGCATTTCGTTTGAGAACTGGAATAAGACAAGGATGCCAAACCTTATCACTCTTATTGAACATAGTACTGGAATTCCTATCTAGAGCCATCAGGCAAGAAAAAAAAATTGAAAGGCATCGAAATAGGTAGAGCAGAAGTCAAAGTATCTCTGTTGGCAGATATGATTCTATACCTAGAAAATCCCATTGTCTTTGCCCAAAAGCTCCTTGATTCAATAAACTACTTCAGAGGAAATTATCTTCTATTTCTATTTGCTGCTTTTTTTAAATTTTTTTAATTTTATTATTATTATACTTTAAGTTTTAGGGTACATGTGCACTGTTTTTTTTTAAACCATACTTTATTATTGGATTTTGTCAAATGTTTTTTTTCATCAATTGATAAGACCATACGGTTTTTCTTTTTTAGACTGTTAATGTGGTGAAATACATATATTAATTTTCAAATAAATAACCAGCCTTGCATCTCAGGAATAAACCCCACTTGGTCATAGTGTGTGTGTGAGTGTGTGTGTGTGTATGTATATATTTGTAGAACTGAATTCTGTTAATATTTCTTAAGAGTTTATGTTTCCATATTGTTGAGAGAGATTCATATGGAGTTTTCTCCTTTTTTACACTATCATTTTCTGGTTTGGTTATGAGAGTAATGCCTGCCTAGTAAAAAGAAATTGGAAGTGTTCTCTTCTCTTCTATTTCCTAGAAGAGATTATATAGAATTGGTGCTATCTCTTATTTAAATGTTGAATATTAATAGAATTCACCATTAGAATCACGTGGGCCCGGAGATTTGTTTTTTGAAAAGTTTTCAACTATGAATTCAATTTCTTTGTTTCAAATTTTTACTTAATTTCTTTTATTTAATTTGAACTTCTTTGAAGATTTTAGAAATAGGCTGTCTCTGTGCAATCTATATCAGTTTGGGTGACTTCTGGTGGTTTGCAGTTTTTAAGGAATTGTTCTTTTTTATTTGAATTTTCCAATTTATGGGCACAGATTTATTCGTTTTATTCTATTATTATTATCTTGAATTATTCTGGGTGTTTAAGATATTCCCTCTTTTATTTCTGATACCTTTGCCATTTTTCACTTTTTCGTGGTTTGATATTTTCCTGTTTTATTAATCATTTAATAAACAGCTTTTGCATTCATTGATTTTCTCTGTTGTTTTTATATGTTCTGCTTATTCTCTTAATATGATCCTTCATTCTGCTTTATTTAGGTTCATTTTTCTCTTCTTTTTGTAGATTCTTAAGGTGGCAGTTTAAATTGTTGATTCAAAATCACCTTTCTTTTATAATATAAGCACTTAATGCTATACTTTGGCTCTCAGCACTGCTTTAGTAGCATACCACATTTTTTGGGTCATTCATTAATTTTCTTAGTCATAATTTTTGCGAGTACATAACGGGTGTATAGTTTAAAATTTAATTTTAGATTCAGGGGATATTGAGTGACACTGGGGTGTGTTGTATGAATGATTCTATCATCCAGGTAGTGACTATAGTACAAAATAGGTAGCTTTTCAGCTTTTCAGTGTTCTAGTACACCCCGGTGTCTATTGTTCCCATCCTTATGTCCATAAGTGCCCAGTTTTTAGCTTTCATTATATATGAGAACATGCAATATTTGATTTTCCGTTACTGCATTAATTCATTTAGAAGGCCTCCACCTGAATCTATGTCATGGCAAAGAACATGATTTTATTCTTTTTTATGGCTGTGCAGTATTCCATGGTGTACAGGTACCAGATTTTCTTAATCCAACCCACTGTTGATGGGCACCTAGGCTGATGTCATGTCTTTGCTATTGTGAATAGTGCTGTGATCAACATACGCATGCATGTGTCTTTTTGGTAGAATAATTTATTTTCCTTTGGGTATATATGTTTACAGTAATGATACTGCTGGGTCCAATGATAGTTCTGTTATAAGATCTTTGAGAAATCTCCAAACTGCATACCACAGTGGCTGAACTAATTTACATTCTCACGATCATTGTAATGTTTCCTTTTTCCATAGCCTTTCCAGTATCTGTTATTTTTTGTGCTTTTAGTAATAGTTATTCTGATGGATGTGAAATGGTATCTCAATGTGGTTTAATTAATTAATTAATTATTATCATTTAACTTTTATTTTAGGTTCGGGGTACACATGCAGGTTTGTTAAACAGGCAAATTGCGTGTCATGGGGATTTTGTATATAGATTATTTCCTCACCCAGGTAATAAGCATAGTACCCTATAGGTATATTTTCTGATCTTTTCTGATCCTCTCCCTCCTCCAACCTTCCATCCTCAGGTAGGCCCTGGTGTCTATTGTTCCCTACTATGTGTCCATGTATGCTCATTGGTTAGCTCTCACTTATAAATGAGAATGTGTGGTGGTATTCAATTTTCTGTTCTTGCATTAGTTGCTTAGCATAATGGCCTGGGGTTTCATCCATGTTGCAGCAAAGGAAATGATCTTGTTCTTTTTTATGTCTGTTTAGTACTCCATGGTGTATATGTACCACACTTTCATTATTCAATTTGTCATTGATGGGAATTTAGGTTGATTGCATATCTTTGCTATTGTGAATAGTGCCGTAATGAATATGTGTGTGCATGTGTCTACATGGTAGAATGATTTATATTCCTTTGAGTATATACCCAATAGTGGAATTGCTAGGTCGAATGGTAATTCTGTTTTAAGTTCTTTGAAAAATTGATGTACTGCTTTCCACAGTGGTGAAACTATTTTAGATTCCCCCAACAATGTATAAGCATTCCCTTTACTCTACAACCTTGCTAGCATTTGTTATTTTTTTCATTTTTAATAATAGCCAGTCTTGCTGGTATGAGATGGTATCTCATTGTGGTTTTGATTTACATTTCTGTGATGATTAGTGATGCTGAGTATTTTTTCATATGCTTGTTGGCCACACCTATGTCTTCTTTTGAAAAATGTCTGTTCATTTCCTTTGCCCACTTTTTAATGGGGTTGTTTGTTTTTTACTTGCAAATTTGCTTAAGTTCCTTAATGATTCTGGATATTAGACCTTTGTTGGATGCATAGTTTGCAAATATTTTCCCCTATTCTTTGGGTTGTCTGTTTACTCCGTTGGTAGTTTCTTTTGCTATGGAAAAGCTCTCTAGTTTAATTAGGTTCCATTTGTCAGTTTTTGTTTTTATTGCAATTGCTTTTGCCATCTTCATCATGAAACCTTTGCCAGGTCCTATGTCCAGAAGAATATTGCCTAGGTTGTCTTTCAGGGTTTTTACATTTAAGTTTTTACATTTGGGTTTTACATTTAAGTCTTTAATCCATCTTCAGTTGATTTTTGTGTATGGTGAAGAAGAGGTCCAGTTTCAATCTTCTACATGTGACTAGACTGTTATCCTGGCACCATTTATTGAATAGGGAGTCCTTTCCCCATTGCTTGTTTTTGTTGGCTTTGTCTAATCAGATGGATGTATTATGCAGGCTTAGTCTGGACTATCTATTCTGTTCCAATGGTCTGTGTGACTGTTTTTGTATCATTACCATGCTGTTTTGGTTACTGTAGCCTTGTAGTACAGTTTGAAGGCAGTTAAAGTGATCCTTCAGCTTTGGTCCTTTTGGTTAGGGTTGCCTTGGCTATTAGGTATCTCTTCAATTCCATATAAATTTTAAAATAGTTCTTTAAGTTCTGTGAAGAATGTAATTGGTAGTTCAATAGGAGTAACACTGAATCTGTACATTGCTTTGGAATGGCCATTTTAACAATATTGATTCTTCCTATTCATGAGCATGGAATGCTTTTCTATTTGTTTGTGTCATCTCTGATTTCTTTGAGCAGTGTTTTGTAATTCTCATTGTAGAGATCTCTCACCTCTGTGGTTAGCTATATTCCAAAGCATTTTATTCTTTTCATGTCAGTTATGAATGGGATTGCGTTTTTGATTTGGCTCTGTTTGGATGTTATTGGTGTGTTGGGATAGTACTGATTTTTCTACATCGAATTTGTCTCCTGAAACTTTGCTGAAGTTATTTTTTCAGAACAAGAAGCTTTGGCGAAAAGACTATGGGGTCTTATAGATATAGCATCATGACATCTCCAAATAGAGATAGTTTGACTTCTTCTCTTGTTATTTGGATAACTTTTCTTTCTTTCTTCTGCCTGATTGCTCTGGCTAGGAATTCCAGTACTATGTTGAACACGGGTGGTTAGAGTGATCATCCTTGCCTTGTGTAGGTTTTCATGGGGAATACTTCCAACTTTTGCATATTCAGTATGATGTTGGATGTGGATTTGTCATCGATGGCTCTAATTTTGATGTATGTTTCTTCAATGCATAGTTTGTTGAGAGTTTTTAACATGAACCTGTGATGTTTATTAATGATAAGCATTTGTTCAAATGGTTGTTGGCTGCTTGTATGTCTTCCTTTGAAAAGTGTCTGTTTATGTCCTTTGCCCATTTATAAATGTGGTTGTTTATTCTCATTGATTTAAGTTTCAGATTAGGGATATTAAACCTTTATTGAATGCATAGTTTGCAAATATTTGCTTCTATTCTGTGCATTGGCTGTTTACTTTCTTTATAGTTTGTTTTGCTGTGCAAAAGCTTTCATTTAATTAGGTCCTACTTGTCAATTTTTGTTTTTCTTGAAATTGCTTTTGAGGATTTAGTCATAAATTCTTTGCCAATGGTGATATGCAGAATGGTATTTCCTAGGTTTTCTTCTAGGATTTTTATAGTTTGAGGTCTTAAATTTAAATCTTTAATTCATCATGAGTTAGGTTTTGTATATGGTAAAAGGTAGGGATCTAGTTTCATTCTTCTGAGTATGGATAGACAGTTATCCCAGCACCATTTATTAAATAGGTAGTCATTTTCCTGTTGTTTATTTTTGTTGACTTTGTTGAAAGTCAGATCATTGTAGGGGTGCAGCCTTTTTTCTAGGCAGTCTATTCTTTCCATTGGTCTCTGTGCTGTTTTTATGCCAGTACCATGCTGTTTCAATCATCATAGCCTTATAGTATAGATTGAATCTGATAACATGATGCCTTTGGCTTTTTTCCCCCTTAGGACTGCTTTGTATATTCAGGCTCCTATTGGGTTCAATATGAATTTTAGAATAGATTTTTCTAATTCTGCAAAAAGTGACATTGGTAGCTTTATAGGAAGAACATTAAATCTGTCGATTGCTTTTGGCAGTATGGCCATTTTAACGATATTAATTCTTCCAATCCATGAGCATGGAATATTTTCCATTTGTTTCTGTCATCTCTGATTTCTTTCAGCAGTTTTTAAACATTTTCTCCTCATAGAGAAATTTCATCTCCTTGGTTAGCTCTATTCCTAGGTATTCTATTGTTTGTGGTTATTGTGAATGGGACTGTGTTCTTGATTTGGCTCTCAGCTTGGAAGTTATTGGGGTGCAGAAATGCTACTGGGTTTTCTAAATGGATTTTGAATCCTAAACCTTTCCTGCAGTCATTTATCAGATCTAGGAGCCTTTTGGTGGAGTCTCTGGGGTTTCCTAGGTATTGAATTGTTTTGTCAGCAAAGAGTTATTTTGACTTCCTCTCTTCCTATTAGGATGATTTTATGTTTCTTTCTCTTGCATGATTGCCGTGGCTAGGACTTTCAGTACTATGTTGAGTAGGAGTGCTGAGAGCTTGCATCCTCATGTTGTTCCCCTTCTTAGAGGAAATGTTTACAGCTTTTACCCATTCAGCATGATGTTGGCTGTGGATTTGTCATAGATGCTTTTTATTATTTTAAGTTATGATTCTTCAATGCCTTGTTCGTTGAGAGTATTTATCATGAAGAGATGTTGGATTTTATTGAAAGTTTTTGTCTTTCTATTGAAGTGATCGTATGGTTTTTGTCTTTAATTATGCTTGTGTTCATTTGGATTTTCTCTTCTCATTCTTTGTTAATCTAACTATTGATCTATTGATCTTATTTATTGTTTTGAAGAACCAACTTTTGGTTTTTTGAATACAACTCTGTATGAATTTTTGGGTCTCGATTTTATTCAATTCTGCTCTGATTTTAGTTATTTCTTTTCTTCTGCTATATTTAGAGTTAGTTTTTTTCTAGCGAATGGAAAATATTACCTCACTCTATTTTTTAAAAAAATCATATTATTTATTTTTTAGATACATTTTAAGTTTATAGAAATGGAATGGAATGAATGGAAACTATAGTGACTTTTTATATGTCCCTCTTCATTTACACACTATTTTCCTTTTATTAAATTGTGTTAGTGTAGCGCATTTGGCATAAGTGTTGGACCAATAACGATACATTATTAAATAAAGTCTATAATTTATGTAAGAGTCCATTGTATGTGTTGTAGAGTTCTATAGTTTTCACAAATGTATAATATCATGTATTTATTATTATAATATTACAGAGAATAGTTTGACTTCACCTATTCACCTCTCTCTCACTTCCCCTGAATGCCTGATAACCACTGATCTTTGTCTTGTTTCTATAGTTTTGCCTTTTCTGGAGTGTTATCTATTGGAGTTTTACAGTATGTAGCATTTTAGCCTGCGTTCTTTCACTTAGCAATATGCACTTAAGGTCTCTCCATGTCTTTTCACATCTTATACCTCATTTCTTTTCATTGTTGAATAACATTCCATTTATTGGTTTTACCGCAGTATGTTTATACATTCACTTTTTTAAAGGTGGGAAATTGGTTAAGTGTTGGAGTATTGAAAGATCAAAGAGAGAACACTTAGGAAACACAGATAATAAATAACTAAAGCAAGCAGTTACCACCGCTAAGGCTGGGGGAACAAAGAGAAAGAGTTGGCTTGTAGAAATTTAGTCCCCATTATACTGGGACTCAGACCTCTGAGGAGGGATCACTGTCTCACCGCTGCTAGTACCTTGGAAGAGGCTCAGTGACACTGTTTAGGAATATAAGAAAGAAGCTGAAGATTGAAATTAACTGCGCTGCTAAGGTAAAGGGCCATTGCTGAGGCAATTTGAGAACAGGAAGCAAAGCAAAAAAGAGTATGTCAGTTCTTCCTCCCCCAGCCTTCCAGTCTCTTCTAGTACCTTTATGGAGGAAGAACTTTACAGGAAGCCTTCTTTTCAAAGGAACAATGAAATCTAATAAGTCCTGGCCCCATCATCACAAAGCAGAGCTCAGAGGAGTGGGTTTGTTACAGAGAGAATATTGTTTAGTAACTGGTACATTCACTTATTGAAGGACATCTTAGTTGCTTCCAAGTTTTAGTAATTATCAATGAAGCTGCTGTATATATTTTTATGGAGGTATATATGTGGCTATACATTTTCAGCTAATTTGGGTAACTACAAAGAAGCACAACTGCTTGATCATATGGCAAGAGTATGTCTAGTTTTGTATGAAACTAATAATTTGCTTTCCGATGTTTCTATCATTTTGCGTTCTCACTAGCTGTGAATATGAATTCTGGTTGCTGCACAAACTTGCCAGCATTTTGTGGTGTTTGTGTTTTGGATTTTAGCCATTCTAATAGGTATATAGATAAATAGGTATCTCGCAGTTTTATTTATTTATTTATTTTTAAATTTTATTATTATTATACTTTAAGTTTTAGGGTACATGTGCACAACGTGCAGGTTTGTTACATATGTATACATGTGCCATGTTGGTGTGCTGCACCCATTAACTCGTCATTTAGCATCAGGTATATCTCCTAATGCTATCCCTCCCCCTTCCCCCTTCCCCGCACCCTACAACAGTCCCCGGTGTGTGATGTTCCCCTTCCTGTGTCCATGTGTTCTCATTGTTCAATTCCCACCTATGAGTGAGAACATGTGGTATTTGGTTTTTTGTCCTTGTGATAGTTTGCTGAGAATGATGGTTTCCAGCTTCATCCATGTCCTTTGTAGGACATGTGAACTCGTCATTTTTTATGGCTGCATAGTATACCATGGTGTATATGTGCCACATTTTCTTAATCCAGTCTATCATTGTTGGATATTTGGGTTGGTTCCAAGTCTTTGCTATTGTGAATAGTGCCGCAATAAACATATGTGTGTATGTGTCTTTATAGCAGCACGATTTATAATCCTTTGGGTATACACCCAGTAATGGGATGGCTGGGTCAAATGGTATTTCCAGTTCTAGATCCCTGAGGAATCGCCACACTGACTTCCACAATGGTTGAACTAGTTTACAGTCCCACCAACATTACAATTTTTTAATAACATAGGATGTTGGGCATTTTTCATATGGTTATTTGTCATCTGTGTATCTTCTTTAATTAGGTGTCTACTCAGTTCTTTGGCTATTTTTTTTTTTTTTGAGAAGGAGTCTTGCTCTGTCACCCAGGCTGGAGTGCAGTTGCACAATTTCTGCTCACTGCAACCTCCGCCTCCTGGGTTCAAGCAATTCTTCTGCCTCAGCCTCCCGAGTAGCTGGGACTACAGGCGTGCAACTCTACACCTGGCTGATTTTTGTATTTTTAGTAGAGATGGAGTTTCACCATATTGGCCAGGCTGGTGTCGAACTCCTGACCTCATGATTCACCCGCCTCAGCCTCCCAAAGTGCTGGGATTATAGGCGTGAACCACCGCTCCCGGCTTCTTTGGCTAAATTTTTAATTTGATTGTTTATTTTCTTATTGTTGAGAGTTATATATTCTTTGTATATTTTAGAATAAACCCTATATCATATATGTGTTTTGTAAGATTCGTTTCTGGCCTGTGGCTTGTCTTTCCATTCTTGTAATAACCTTTTTGGCAGAGCAAAAGTTCTAAATTTCCAAAATTTTTAAAGTTCTAAACTATGATTTTTTTTTATTTTATCGATTGTGCTTATGGTGTTATATCTAAAAAGTCTTCATCAAACCCAAGGTATATTAGATTTTTTCCTATGTTATTTTCTAGGAGTTTTATAATTTTGTGTTTTATATTCAGGTCTAGAATCCATTCTTAATTAAATTGTTGTAAATGGTGTAAGATCTGTATCTAGATTCATTTTTCTTTTTGCATGTGGATATCCAGTATCATTTGTTAAAAAGATTATGATTTCTCCATGACTTGCCTTTGCAGTTTGTCAAAGTTGACTATATTTGTGTGGGTCTATTTCTGGGCTCTCTAGTCTGTTTCATTGATGTTTTTGTTTATTCTTTCACTGTTACCCACTATTACCACACTGTCTTGATTACTATAAATTTATAGTAAGTCTTGGAATAAGGTGGTATCAGTCCTCTGACTTTGCTTTTTTCTTTCAGTATTGTGGTGGCCATTCCAGATCTTTTGCATTTTCATATAAACGTTAGAATGAGTTTACCAATTTCACAAACTAATTTTCTGGGATTTTGATTGGGATTGTGTTGAATGTATACATCAAGTTATGTAGAACTGATATCTTAATTATATTAATTGCTTACATCCATGAATGTAGAATATGCTTGTATTTATTTAGGTCTACATGGATTTCTGTTATTAGAGTTTTGTAGTTTTTCTCCTATATTTCTTATAAATACTTTGTTAGATTTATATCTAGTTATTTCATTTTTGGTGCGGATGTAAAGGAAGGTTTGTTTTCAAGTTCAAATTTTAATTGTGCATTGCTGGTATAGAGGAAAGCAGTTGAGTTGGATATGTAACCATGTATCCTGCAAACTTGCTGTAATTGCTTATTAGTTCAAAGAGTTATTTTATTTGGGATCAGCTGTATACACAATCATGTCATCTACAAACAAAGCCAGTTTTATTTTCTTCTTTTCAATATGTATATCCTGTATTTTCTTTTCTTTTCCTATTATGTTGGCTTGGACTTTCAGTATGATGTTGATGATAAATGGTGAGAGGGGATATCCTTGATATTTTCTTGACCTTAGCAGAGAAACATTTAGTTTCTGACCATTAAGTATAATATAAAATTAGCTGTAGGATTTCTGTGGATGTTCTTTATCAAGTTGAATAGATTTTTCTCTATTTCTGTCTTGTTGAGAGTTTTTAAGGTGAATGAATGTTTTATTTTGTAAACTGGTTTTTCGCATCTATTAATTTTATCATATTATTTTTATTCTTTATTCTCTTGATATAACTGATTAATTGAATTTTGTATGTTAATCCAACCTTGCACACTTGAAGTAAACCCTATTTGATCATGATGTAATTCTTTCATATATATATTTTTTTATTTTATTTTATTTTATTTTATTTTATTTTATTTTATTTTTTGAGACAGTGTCTCACTCTGTCACCCAGGGTGGAGTGCAGTGGCAGGATTTTGGCTCACTGCAACCTCCACCTTCTGGGTTCAAGCGATTCTCCTGCCTCAGCCTCCCGAGTAGCTGGGATTACAGGCTCCCTAAATCATGCTTGGCTAAGTTTTGTACTTTTTGTAGAGATGGGGTTTCACCATGTTGACCAGGCTGATCTCGAACTCCTGACCTCAAGTCATCTGCCCGCCTCAGCCTCCCAAATTTCTGGGATTACAGGCATGAGTCACTGTGCCTGGACAATATATTGTTGAATTTTAGTGGCTGGCATTTTTGAGAACATTTTCATCTATGTTTTTCAGTAATATTGATCTGCAGTTTTAATTTCTTGTAATATTTTTATCTGTTTTTTTATTAGGGTATCACTGGCCTCATAGAATTAGTGAGGAAGTATTCCATTTGCTTATATTTTCTGGAAAAGATTATGGAGAACTGGTATAACTTCTTCCTTAAATGTTTGGTAGAATTCACCAGTACACCCATCGTAGCCTGGTTATTATTCTTTTAGAAAATTATTAATAATTGATTCAATTTCTTTAATAAATATGATCCTCATCAGATTGTTCATTTCTTCTTGTGTGAATTTTGGTAATTGACTCTTTCAAGGAATTGGTCTGCTTCACCTATGTTATCAAATTTGTGGGCCCACAGTTGTTTATAATATTCCTTTATTATTTTAAAATTGTTTTTAGGAACAGTAATGATAACTGTCTTCTCATTTTTTATATTAGTAATTTATGTGATACCTCTTTTGTTTTCTTAGTTATCTTGTTTAGAGGTTTACTGGTTTTATTGATTTTTTTCAGAGAATCAAGTTTTAGTTTCAGTGATTTCATGTTATCAATCACATTGATTTTTGCAGTAATTTTTACTATTACTTTTTTCTGCTTATTTTGTTTTAATATGATCTTCTTCTTTACAGTTTCCAAAGGCAGAAGCATGGATAACCTATTTTCTAATATATACATGCTGATCTACAAGTTTCTCTGTCAGCACTGCATCATTGCATCTAATAAATTTTGATAAGTTGTATTTTTATTTTCATTTCATTCAAAACACTTTTAATTTATCTTGAAACTTTTTTTTTCCATAAACGTGTTATGTAGAAATGTGCTGTTTAATCTCTACATATTGGGGTTTTCCAGGTATTTTTTGTTATTGATTTCTAGTTTAATGTCATCAGAGCCTGGGAGCATTTTATAGCTTAGATTCTGGTCAGTCTTGGTAAATAATCCATGTAAGTTTATAAAGAATGTGTATTTTGCTGTTATTGGATGAAAAATATATAAATATCAAGTAGAGCCAGTTGACTGATGGTCTTATTCAGTTTAATTCTGTCCTAAGATATTTTCTGTCGGCCAGGTCTGTGAATTACTGATAGATGGCTGCTGAAATGTACAACTATAACAATGGGTTCATTTTTTTACCCTTGAAATTTTATCAGTTTTGCCTCATGTATCTTGTGCTGTGTTGTTAGGCACATTCACCTTCAGAATTGTTATGTTTTCATAGCAAATTGACTCCTTTATCATTTTTTAATTCCCTTCTTTATCTCTGTAAATTTTTTGGTTCTGAAAGTTTCATTTATCTGAAATTGATATAGCTACTCCAGCTTGTTTTCTTCTTCAATTATATATTTTTTAATTTTTAGAGTCAGGATCTCACTCTGTTATCCCAGCTGCAGTGCAGTGGCATGATCATAGCTCACTGCAACCTCAATATTTTTTGGCTCAAGCGATCCTCCCAAATAGCTTGGACTACAGTTGTGCATCATCCTGTCTGGATAATTTTAGTTTTTAAAATTTTTTGTGGAGACTGAGTCTTGCTATTTTGCTCAAGCTGTTCTCAAACTTTTGGCCTCAAGTGATCCTCCCACCTCAGGATCTCAAAGTGCTGAGATGATAGGAGTGAGCCACCATGCCTGGCTAAGCTACTTCAGCTTTCTTTAGATTAGTGCTAGCATGATATATAATTCTCTACCTTTTTACTTTTAATCTATTTCTGTCTTTAAGTTTAAAGTTGATTTCTTGTAAAAAAGCAAGAGTTGGGCAGTCTTTTCTTAAATCCACTGTGACAGTGTCTGTCTTTTTATTTGGGTATTTAAGTCATTGACTTTTAAAGTGATTATTGATATAGTTGGTTAATATCTTCCATGTTTGTAACTATTTTTATTCATTGCCCTTTGTCTTTCTTTCTATATGTGTTTCCTATTCCTTTTCTGCATTTTCTGGTTGTAATTGAGCTATAGTTATATATATAGTTTTACATATATATAGTTATATATAGTTTTATATATATATAGTTTTACATATATTCAATTTACAAAGTTACAGTATTGTACAACTCTCACTAATATGTAGTTTCAGAACTTTTTCAAGACCTGAAAGTGAAACCCCATACTCATTAAAGTTATTTGCTATTACTCCCTAGTCCCTGCCTGTTGTTACCACCAATCTGCTTTCTGTCTCTAAATTCTGGATATTTATCTATTCTGAATATTTCATTTCATGTAAATGTATTCATACAATATATGGCCTTCTGTACTTGGCATCTTTCATATAACATAATGTTTTCAAGTCTCATCCATGTTGCAGCAAGTATTAGTTCCCATTCTTTTCTATGGCTGAATAATATTCCGTTATACAGATATATTACAATTTTTTAATCCATTTATCAGTTGATGGACATTTGCTGCTATAAACATTTTTGTACAATTTTTATTTTAATACCTGTTTTCAATTCTTTTGAGTATTTACGTAAGAGTAGAAATTTTGGGTCATATGGTAATCTCGTGTCTAACTTTTTTAGGAACTACCAAACTGTTTTACACAGTAATTGCATCATTGTACATTCTTACCAGCAATGTATATGAATTTTAATTTCTCCACGTCTTTTCAAACGCGTATTTTCTGATTTTTTCATTATGACCCCCACTGTGCATATTTCATTGTGGTTTTGATTTACTTTTTACTAATGACTAATGATGTTGAGCATTTTTCTTGTTCTTATTGGCCATTTGTACATGTTCTTTGGAGAAATGTCTATTCAAATCCTTTGTCTATTACTTAATTGGTTTAATTATTTAATTTTTTGTCTTTTTTTAAGTTATTAGGGTTCTCCACGGTTTTTGGATATAGATTTATCAGATACATAGTTTTAAAATATTCTCTCGAGTTCTGTCCGTTGTCTTTTTAACTCTCTTGATATGTCATCTGATGCACAAAATGTTTTATTTTTGTGAATTCCAATTTATCTATTTTTCCTTTTGTTGCTTGTCCCCTCAGTGCCATATCTAAGAAACTATTGCCACATCCAAAATCACCAAGATGTACCCTTATAATTTCTTCTAAAAGTTTTATAGCTTTAGCTGTGGTTATCCTAGCACCACTTGTTGAAGCAACTGTTTTTTTTTCCCCATTGAGTGTCCTTATCAATGTTGTTGAAAGTCAATTAACCACATATTTATAGGTCTATTATTGGATTTTCATTTCTCTTTCATTGATCTACATGTCTATCTTTACAAAAGTTCTAGACTGCCTTGATTAATGCAGTCTTGTAGTAAGTTTTGAAATTGGGAAGTTTGAGTCCCTGAGCACTGTTTTTCTTTTCCAAGATGTTTTGCCTATTCAGGGCCCCTTGCAATTCCATATGAATTATATGTTTGGGTTTCCTAGTTCTGCAAAAAGGCAATTGCGATATTGATTCGAATTGCATTGAGTCTGTTAATTGCTGTGGTGAGCACTGACATCTTAACAATATTGTTTTCCAAATCATGAACACAGGATGTCTTTCTGTCTTCATTTTTAGTGTAGTATTTTACAACTGTAATTTCTCCCTTAAGCACTTCTTTAGCTGCATTCAATGCATTTTGGTGTTTCATGTCTTCATTTTTATTAATCTCAAACTACTTTCTAATTTTCCTTGTGATCTCATCTTTCATCCTTTGGTTATTTAGAAGTGTGTATTTCAATTTCCTTATATTTCCTAAATTTCTTTTTGTTATTAATTTCAAATTAGTTCTACTGTGGTCAGAGGATATACTTTGCTTGATTTAAATTCTTTAAATTTATTGAGATTTGTTTTATTGTCTAGCATGTGGTTTATCCTGGAGAATGTTCCATCCATATGCACTTGAGAGTAGGTTTCCAATGGGTTTTGGTGGAGCAGTCTCTAGATGTCTTGTTTATCTAATTGCTTTACAGTATTGTTCAAACTTTATATTTCCTTAGTGATATTTTGTCTAGTTTTTCTATGTGTTATTGTAAGTGGAATATTGAAGTCTCCGATCATTATTAGAATTGTTTATTTTCCCTTCATTCCTTGAGGCTTTGCATCATTACTCCAGGGCTGTAATTTCAGGCACATATATTGTATTAGTCCGTTTTCACACTGCTGATAAAGATATACCCAATACTGGGCAATTTACAGAAGAAAGAGGTAATGGACTTACAGTCCCACGTGGCTGGGGAGGCCTCGCAATCATGGTGGAAGGTGAAAGGCACATTTCACATGGTGGCAGACAAGAGAAGGGAGCCTGTGCAAGGAAGCTCTCCTTTTAAAAACCATCATATCTCGTGAGATTTATTCACTATCACGAGAACAGCATGGAAAAGACCTGCCCCCATGATTCAATTACCTCCCACCAGGTCCCTCCCACAACACGGGAATTCAAGATGAGATTTGGGTGGGGACACAGCCAAACCATATCATGTATGTTTGTAATTATTACATCTTCCTGATATAGTGACCATTATAATTATAAAATGTCCCTCTTTATTGCTGGTAACATTTTAAAAATGTTTATTTTGTCTGTCCTTAGAGGAGGCATCCTTAGGCTTAAGTATAGTCATCATGAAATTACAAGGTTTTAGCATCGTTCTCTTTGACTGTCACTTTCACTGGTATCTGTGTTAAGCCATTTGTCTGTTGGTATCACACCCAGCTGTTAGCTCTGAGTTACAGTTTATTATTCTATTGTTTTGACAGTGCATTGGAACATAAATGCTGCATAGTCTGATCCAATTATATTCCAGTGTCTTTGCAAGGGTAGTTTTATAGGGTAGTCTTTGCGGTTTTTTTCTACCACAGGAGAGAAATTGCTCTCCTTTCCATGATCCTTGCTGGTTAACAAGCTGGTCTGTGGCTTAGCTTTTTTCTCTCATGGAGCTAAGTTGTAACCCCTTTATTTCTTTCCTCGTCACTGCTTACATCTAAAATCTCCATTGTATTTAAGAGTACCCTTAAGTTTGAACTTCCCACACTGTTCCAAAAAAAAGTTAGCCTCCTTAGGGAGAGCTTCTTAGTTTTCTTTTCTTTTTTTTTTTTGTGTTTATTATAATTTACGTTCTAGGGTACATGTGCACAATGTGCAGGTTTGTTACATATGTATACATGTGCCATGTTGGTGTGCTGCACCCATTAACTCGTCATTTACACTAGGTATATCTCCTAATGCTATCCCTCGCCCCTCCCGCCACCCCACGACAGGCCCCAGTGTGTGATGTTCCCCTTCCTGTGTCCAAGTGTTCTCATTGTTCAATTCCCACCTATGAGTGAGAACATGCGGTGTTTGGTTTTTTGTCCTTGCAATAGTTTGCTGAGAATGATGGTATCCAGCTTCATCCATGTCCCTACAAAGGACATGAACTCATCCTTTTTAATGGCTGCGTAGTATTCCATGGTGTATATGTGCCACATTTTATTTATCTTAGTTTTCTATTATTGTGGCCAATTCCTTCCTTTCTAGGGGAAAAACCTGCATCACTGCTCTGGAGTTGGGGGTAAGGAGGGTGGCTCATTTCTCTCAGAATGAAAAAAGAAATTGCCTCTTTTCTTCTTTCTTTCTCTTTCTTTCTTTTTCTTTCTTCCTTTCTCTTCCTCTTCCTTTCTTTCCCTTTCTTTCAGAAATTGCCTCTTTTCTTCTTTCTTTTTCTTTTTTCTTTCTCTTCCTCTCTCTTTCTTTCCCTTCCTTCCTTCCTTCTTTTCTTTCTTTCTTTCTTTCTTTCTTTCTTTCTTTCTTTCTTTCTTTCTTTCAAAGAGTCTCTCTCTGTCAACCAGCTGGAGTGCAGTGGCACAATCTTGGCTCACTGCAAACTTCACCTCCAAAGTTCAAGCGATTCTCCCACCTCAGCCTCCTGAGTAGCTAGGACTACAGGTGCACACCACCATACCCAGCTAATATTTGTATTTTTGGTAGAGACGGGTTTTGCCATGTTACCCCGGATGGTCTTGAACTCCTGACCTCAAGTGATCCACCTGCCTCAGCCTCCTAAAGTGCTGGGATTAGAGACATGAGCCACCATGCCCAGCCAGAAGTTGCCTCTTTCATTATTAGCTTGCGTATCCCAGAATGGAACCTTCACCCTTTGAATCACATGGGGCAAGGATGATATGGGCCCCATTGCTCTTGGCCTGCTTCACCTGTAATAGAGCTACTACCATATGACATGTGGTTTGGTGGAGTGAGTGAGCTCCAAAGCTCTCAGCTGCTCTGGAAGAGAGTTTTGCAACACAAAACTGGGGATGATGAGAAATGAGAAATGGTTTGTGTCTTTTAGGAGATATTGTAACATTCAGCTGTAAACTGGGAAAAGAGGGAGGCCTGTGATTTTTGTCACATCAATTCAGAGTGGAGCACCTATGTTGCTGAGTGGAGGTAGAGAGAATTTCATGGCTTTTGTTGTAGACACTTGCTATTCTCATCGAGATTTAGCAGATATTTTTTAATAAATATTTTTTCTTTTGCTATATGCAATTTGGACTATTTCCAGAGGCTTTAAGTTTTTGTTCTAAAATAATTCTCACCAATTATGATTTTTTCCCCTGGGGAAATTTTTCCATGAAAACTTTTGGGTTTACTCTGGGTCTAATAATTTTGAACTATATGCTGTATATTTTGAGTATTATACCAGTATTATTTAAAGTCTAGGCAGAATATTCCCTGTGCAGAATGCTGATAGTTTTTCTTTCTCAGTGAATGGGACTATTCATGTTTAGGCAACAATTTCTCATCTATGCCGTGTGTATTGTGCTTACAAGGTAATTGCTGTTTTTAAAGTCTGTGCAGTGATTTTTGGATCTATCCTTTGTGTACATTACCTAGGCCATTTTGGCACTTGGTCAGTGGTATATCTGTTAATTTAGATATTAAAGTCTTTGGCAGGCACATTAACATCAGATCCCTGTGTATGCACAGCCCAGGATTGATTTCAGGATGTCATAGCCACTTTTATTGGCTCATTGTCCTCACTGCCTCCTTTTTTCCTAAGCTCTCCTGTACCTTCCAGTTCTTTGGGTGTCCTCTTTTCAGTCTTTTGGCCGGATGCTTGAGACTTAGTTACCCCACTATATCGTGCACTTCCACTCCTGTGTGTGCATTCAAGTTCAAGTGGTGGGAAGTCAGAGAGCAAAAACAAAACAAAACAAAAAATCAATGTGCTTGGCCCCACTTTCTTTATGCCATAGCTCCTGTGGTCAGAGAGGGAGATTCCTGTGCTCCTGTTTCTACGCTAGAGATTACATGGAATCTAGGACATAGGCAATAGACAAGGAAAGTGAACACCCTTTGAACAGTAGGCATTCACTTTTCTGCTCCCTGAACCAAAATTAAAGGGGGCTTTCTATATTCCTCTCTGTACCCCAGTGCCTATTCATGGTATTCGGAATGCACTTTTGAAAGTCGTATTAATGGAAATTCATATACCCCAAACAGTTTTTATTCCTGAAAATTGAGGAAATTATTAGATATTACAGAAAATTTTCCAAAGTTTCTATTGGGGCAGATACTGGTTTTAAAAAATTCAAATATTAATAAAACAAATATAGAAACTTTCAGAATTCTGTAGGAAGCTGTTAAATAAAAAGTATACTTAGTTACAGTAAAGAAAAATGCTGTCCTGATTTCAACTTTTATCCATTCAATAAGCATTTATTGCATACTAATAATTGTAAAAATATTGTTCTAGTCAAGCATTGTACACTGAAATAGCTTTTGTTGATGGAAATGATGGCCAATGTAGTGGCTAATATGGTAACCACTAGCCACAAGTGGTTATTAAGCACTTGAAATGTGGCAAGTGAAAATGATAAACTAGCTAAAGACTATGATATTGTACAGTACAGTTCTAGACATTTTTGAAAACACAAATATAACTGCTAATGAGGTAGTAGTTATCTATTGCACATTGTATTAATATTTTATGTTTGTTTATCTCATTCATTATAACCATTTGATCATTATATGTTTATAGCAGAAGAAACTGTGGTCTAGAGAGGTAAAGTAACTTTTTCAAAGTCACAAAGTTATGAAACAGCAAAATTTGGCTTCACAGCCATGTACGTATTATTTGAGGGTCTTTTATTGGAAACTGCACTATTTATTGACAGGGATACTGCAGTACAATTTACATACATGAAAATTCACTATTTAGAGTATACCATTCTATAGTTATTGATAAATGAATTCAGCTGTGTAATCATCACCACAAAAATAAACATAAAGAATATTTCCATCAATCAAAAAAGTTAATTCCTGCCCCTTTGTAAATGCTTACACTCATGACCAGCAACTACTGATCTGTTTTGCTATCTCTATAATTTTGCCCATTCAAGAATGCAATATTAACAGAGATTTATGTTATAAATAGCTTCTTTGAGTCTGGATTCTTTATAATCATCAGTGTTGTAGCCTTTGTTAGTAGTTGGTTTCTTTTTATTTCTGTGTAATGTTCTGTTGTGTGGATATAGCACCATTTGTTTACTCGCCAATAAGAAGATATTTTTGTTGCTTATGGTTTCTGCCAATTGCAAATATACCTTCTATAAACATCTGTGTACAGATATTTGTGTGAATATCATTGTAAGTTGTGGATGAATACCTTGAGTACGACTATTGGGTTATGTGGTAAGTTTATGTTTAACTTTATAAGAAAATGCCAAACTGTTTTCCTGAGTGGCTGTATAATTTTGCATTCCCATTGGCAATGAATGAGTTTCCAATGAATGATTCACATCCTTGTGAGAAATTGGTAATATCAGTTTTGTTGGATTTTAGGCATTTTAACAGGGATGTTGTGCTATCTAATTGTGGTAGTCATTTGCATTTCCTGAATAACTAATAATGCCAGAGGTATCTTTATATGTGCTTTTGTGCGTTCCTTCTTTGGTACATGTCTGTCGAGATCTTTTGTCATATCTTATTGGGTTAATTTTTCTCATTGAGTTTAACTATTTCACATACAATTTATTAATCAGATATATCCTTTTCAAATATATTTTCCCCATTTTTGGGTCGTCTTTTTATTTTGTAACAGTGCCATTCTAAGGAACAAAACTTTAAATTTAGATGAAGCTCAAATTAACAAGTTTTAAAGATGTTGTTTTTTCATATTATTTAAGAAATCTTTGCCTAATCCAAGGTCACAAGATTTTCTCCTATGTTTTCCCTAAAATATTTATAATTTTAGGTTTTACTATAGGTCTATTGTATTAATTTGCTAAGGCTCTCATAACTAAGTACCACAAACTTGTTGGCGTAAACAACAGAAATTTATTTTCTCACGGTTCTGGATCCTGGAAGTCAAAATTCAAGGTGTCAGCTGAGTTGGTTCCTTCTGAAGGTTGTGAGTGAATGGTCTACTCTATGTTTGTTTCCTTGGTTTGTAAGTGGCCTTTTCTTTTTCATATTGTTTTTCCTCTATGTGTGCCTGTGTCATATTTTCCGTTCTTTCAGGGCAGCAGTGATATTGGATTCGACCTCACCCTAATTACTTGATCTTAACTTGATTACCTCTATAAAGATCCCATCTCTAAACAAGGTCATATTTTGAGGTACTGAGGGTTAGGATTTCAACATTTGAATTTTGCGGAGGACACAGCTGAACCTATAACAGTCTGCCCTTTGCCCTCCCCCAGTTCATGTCCTTTTCGCATGCAAAATACATTCACCCCCATTCCAACATCCCCAAAAGTGTTCATCCATTTTAGCATCAACTGTAATTCCAACATCTCATAAAAATCTCATCTAAATCATCTATGGATGAGACTATGGTTATGATTCATGTTGAGGCAAAATTCCCATCTAGCTATGAACCCAGACAACAAGTTATCTGACTGCTTTATTAATTATTATTAATTTTTCAACTATCCAGCTTTTGATTTCATTGTTTTTTACTATAAATTTTATACTTTCATTTTCATTGAATTCTCTTCATCTCTGTAGCTTCCACTCTTGCACTTGGCTTGATATGCTATTCTTTCTCTTGAGCTTAAAGTGAAATAATTGATTTGAAGTCTTTCTTCTTCTCTTAAGTATTCTCATTAATACTAGAAATTTTCCTCTAACCATTGTTTTACTTTGTTCCCTTTTCATTTACAATGATTTCAGAACTAACTTTCTATTTGACTTCTTCTTTGCCATGGGTTATTTAGAAGTGTGGTGTTTATTTTTAAAGTGTTTGGGGATTATCTAGATATTTTTCTCTTATCAGTTTCTAGTTTCCTTAAATTACAATCAGTCTTATATCTGTGATTTCATTTCTTTTAAAACTGAGGTTTCTTTAGTGGCTCAGAATTTGGCCAGTTTTAAAGAAAGACAATGTGTTCTTGAAAAAAAGTATATTCTGCTGCTACTGGATGGATTTTCTATTAATAGGATTTAAGTCAATTTTAAAATAATGTTGTTTAGTAATTTTGTATCATCACTGATGTTATGTTTACTTGTTCTCTTGTACATTTGGATTGAGTATAGATAATCATTATGTTTTATCTCTACTAGGTAGAGATATACTTAGTAAACCTCTTTCCAAATTATTTTAGTGTTTGCCCTGGGGTTTATATTATACATCTTACTTTTATGCTGTCTATTGTTAAATAATGTTGTACTCCTTCATGTATAATGTAAGAATCTTACAAGAATATATTTTTAATTCCTCTCTTTGATGCTCTGCTATATTACTTTGTCACATTATGTTCTTGAATATGCTATAAATCTGAATAAATTGTGAGCATTTTGATTTAGATCATAGATTATTTTGAGTGTTTGCATATTAGAAGACATGTATTTTATATTTGCCTTGTATAGTAGGCAAAATTCTAAAGATTTCCCCCATGCTTCCCATCTCCCAATGATTTAAACACTTATCTATTTCCTCTGTTGGAGGGATTCGATGATGTAATTAAAATGACTTACCAGCTGATCTTAAAATAGGAAGATTATCTTGGATCATCTAGGTAGCCCCAATGTAATCACATGAGTCCTTAAAAGCATATGAGGAAGGCAGAAGTGTCAGTCAGAGGGATGTAGTGAAAGAGGAAAGTGAAAGTGGTGACTCAGAAGGGGAAGTCAGAGCTATTACATGTATGAGAAAGATATGGATATGTTGTTATTGGTTCTGAGATGTAGGAGCCCGTCTGTGAGGACTCAGAAAAAGCCTTTAAGAGCTAAATCCTATCACTGGCTCACAACCAGACAAAAGGATGGAATCTCAGTCCTATAGGTGATAAAAACCTAATTCATATAATAACCTGACTGACCTTATAAATGGATTCTTCCCCTGAACCTTGAGTAAGGCTCTTCTGATGCAATGATTCTAGTGAGTCCTGTGTTAGACTGCTGGCCTACAGAAACTGTGAAACAGTAATTTGATTTGAATCAAGCAGTTTAGTCTGTTCCAATTTGTTACATCAGCAATATCAAATTATTGGACTTTCATTTTAGTTATTTCTGTTTCTTTTCATTTCTTTGTTTACATGCAAACTCCTGTCTGGTATCATATTGTTTCTATCTGAAACCCCCCTTTAAAAAAACATTTCTTTTAGTGCTGGTCTGCTGGTACTTTGTTCTCTTAGCTTTTGTTCATGTGTAACAAATTCTTTATTTTGCCTTTTTTCTGAAATGCATATATTTATGGGTATGGAATTCTGAGTTGGCACATTTTTTTTTCTTTAACTTCTATAAAGATGTCACCCATTTCTTTTCATTTGCATAGTTTCCTATAAAAAGTCTGATTTAAAAAAAATCTTTGTTCTTTTATACGTAATATAACTTTTAGCCTCTTGTTTTCTTCAATAATTTGTTTTAGTCTTCATTTTGTAAGCATTTGGCCATTTTCTCTTCAAATAATTTTTGGCCATTTTCTTTTAAAAAATTTTTTCAGCCCTTTTTGCTCTCTCTTGTTTTTCTTATTCCAATTATGCATATGTTAAGCCTTTTGATATTTTCTCACAGTTCTTGGATGCTTTTTCTCACAGTTCTTGGATGCTTTTTTTTTCCTTTTTTCAATCTTTTTTTGTCTTTTTTACTCAATTTGGTGTTTTTATTAATCTACTTCAAGTTCACTGTTTCTTGTTTGTATTGAGTCTGTTGATGTCACAGGCATTCATTTTTTCTTTGTCTTTTTAAAAAACTATTGTTTTAATTTTATACTTTCTTTTAGTTTACATCTCTGCTTAAATTCTCCTTTGTTCATGCTGTTTTTTACCTTTTCCAATAGAATCTATAGTATATTAACTATGGTCCCCATGTGATACTTTTGATTTTGACATTATCTCTGAATCTGGTTCTATTGTTTTGTTTCTTGGCAATGGTTTGTTTTCCTTGCTTTACTGTGTGTCTTATAATGTTTTATTGAATGGTAATCACGTCTTGTAGAATAGAAGAAACTTAAGGGGACTATATTTGTGTCTTAAACTGGGCATGCTTCTTCTGCTCTAATCTTTATTATATCTTTTTTCTAGTAATTTTGGGTTTTGCTTACTCTTGCTTTTCTAGTTTTTTATGAGACATGAGACATTGTTAGATTTTTTATTTGAAGTTTTTTTTTTTGATGTAAGTACTTATAGCTGTAAACTTCCCTCTTAGTATTGCCTTTTCTGTATTCCATAGTTTTTGGTATGCTGTGTTTCCATTATCATTTGTTTCAAGAAATTTTTTCAATTTTTCAATTAATTTTTTCATTGACCCACTGGTCATTCAGGAGCATATTGTTTACTTTCCATGTATTTGTATAGTTTCTAAAATTTCTCTTGTTATTGATTTCTAGTTTTCTTTTATTGTGGCCAGAGAAGATACTTGATATTATTACATTTTTTTCTGAGTGCTTTAAGGCTTGTTTTGTGACCTAACATGTTGTCTGGTCTTTCCCTGAGAGTGATCCATGTGCTGAGCAAAAGAATGTGTATTCTGCTGCTGTTGGCTAAAATGTTCTATAAGTATAGATTAGATCTATTTGTTCTATAGTGCAGATTAAAACTGATGTTTATTTGTTGATTTTCTGTCTGAAAGATCTGTCCAATGCTGAAAGTGGGGTGTTAAAGTCTCCAGATACTATTCTATTGGGGTTTATTTCTCTCTTTAGCTCCAATAGTATTTACTTTTCACACCTGGGTGTTCTGTTGTTGGATGCATATATATTTAAAATTGTTATATTCTCTTGCTGAATTGAGCCTTTTATCATCATATAGTGACCTCGTTTGTCTATTTTTATAGTTCTTGTCTTGAAATCTATTTAGTGTGATATAAGTATAGCAATGTTTGCTTTTTATGGTTTCCATTAGCATGGGATATCTTTTTATTTTTAGTCTGTGTGTGTCTTTATAGATGAATTGTGTTTCTTGTAGGCAGCAGATCAATGGTTCTTTTCTATTATTATTTCAATCACTCTATGTCTTTTGATTATACTGTTTAGTCCATTTTCATCCAACATTATTATTGATAAGTGAGGACTTATTTCTGTCATTTTGTTATTTGTTTTCTGAGCGTTTTGATGTCTTTTCATGCTTCTTTCTCTTTTTCCTGTGTTTTGTCACTGAAGGTAATTCTCTCTGGCAACATGATTTAGTTTCTTACTTTTTATTTTTGTGTGTTTGTTGTCATATTTTTTGGTTTGAGTTTACCATGAGGTACATATATGCTATCTTATAACCCATTATTATGAGGTGATAACAGCTTAACACCATTTGCATAAATAAAGAAACAAACAACTAAAATAGAAACTAATAAAACTCCACATCTTAACTTTGTTTCCCCAGTTTTTATCTTTTTGTTGTTTCTATTTATATCTTATTGTACTGTCTGATTATCTTGAAAAGTTGTTTTAGGTATTGTTTTTTATTATTATTATTATTATACTTTAAGTTTTAGGGTACATGTTCACAATGTGCAGGTTAGTTACATATGTATACATGTGCCATGCTGGTGCGCTGCACCCACTAACTCGTCATCTAGCATTAGGTATATCTCCCAGTGCTATCCCTCCCCCCTCCCCCCACCCCACAACAGTCCCCAGAGTGTGATGTTCCCCTTCCTGTGTCCATGTGTTCTCATTGTTCAATTCTCACCTATAAGTGAGAATATGCAGTGTTTGGTTTTTTGTTCTTGCGATAGTTTACTGAGAATGATGATTTCCAATTTCATCCATGTCCCTACAAAGGACGTGAACTCATCATTTTTTATGGCTGCATAGTATTCCATGGTGTATATGTGCCACATTTTCTTAATCCAGTCTATCATTGTTGGACATTTGGGTTGGTTCCAAGTCTTTGCTATTGTGAATAATGCCACAATAAACATACGTGTGCATGTGTCTTTATAGCAGCATGATTTATAGTCCTTTGGGTATATACCCAGTAATGGACACTTCTCAAAAGAAGACATTTATGCAGCCAAAAAGCACATGAAAAAATGCTCACCATCACTGGCCATCAGAGAAATGCAAATCAAAACCACAATGAGATACCATCTCACACCAGTTAGAATGGCAATCATTAAAAAGTCAGGAAACAACAGGTGCTGGAGAGCATGTGGAGAAATAGGAACACTTTTACACTGTTGGTGGGACTGTAAACTAGTTCAACCATTGTGGAATTCAGTGTGGCGATTCCTCAGGGATCTAGAACTAGAAATACCATTTGACCCAGCCATCCCATTACTAGGTATTGTTTTTGATTGGTTCATTGTTTAGTCTTTCTACTTAGGATAAGAGTAGTTGACATACCACAGTTAACAGTGTTATTACAGTCTGTGTTTTTCTGTGTACTTATTATTACCAGTTAGTTGTGTACCTTCAGGTTATTACTTATTGCTCCTTAATATCTATTTTCTTTCTGATTGAAATATGCCCTTTAACATTTCTTGTAGAACACGTCTGGTGTGGATGAAATCCCTCAGGTTTTGTTTGTCTCGGATAGTCATTATTTCTCCTTCATGTTTAAAGAATATTTTCACCAGATATATTACTCCAGGGAAGAAGTGGGGTTTTTTGTTTGTTTGTTTTGGTTTTATCCTTCAGCACTTTAAATATGCCATAGCATTCTCTCCTATTCTGTAAGGTTTCCACTAAAAATTTGCTGTCAGGCATATTGGAGCTCCATAGTATGTTGTAGGTTTCTTTTCTTCTGCTGCTTTTAGGATCCTTTCTTTAGCCTTGTTCTTTGGAAGTTTGATTATTAAATGCCTTGTGGTAGTCTTTTTTGGGTTAAATCTGTTTAGTTTTCTATAATATCCTTGTGCTTGGATACTGATAACTTTCTTTTGGTTTGGGAAGTTCTCTGTTATTGTCCCTTTGAATAAACTTTCTCCTTCTGTCTCTTTCTCTACCTCCTCTTTAATGCCAATAACTCCTAGATTTGCCCTTTTGAGGCTATTTTATAGATCCTATAAGCATGTTTCATTTTGTAAACTATTTTTTTCTTTTGTTTTTCTGACTGTATTTTCAAGTAGCCTGATGTCAAGCTCACAGATTGTTTTTTCTTCTTGATAATTCTGCTTTTAAAGACTCTGATATATTCTTCATTATGCCAGTTGCATTTTTCCACTCCAGAATTTTTGCTTAATTATTTCAATGCATGTGTTAAATTATCTGATAAAATTCTGAATTCCTTCTTTGTGTTATCTTGAATTTCTTTGTGTTTCTTCAATACAACTATTTTGAATTCTCTGTCAGAAAGTTCATATATCTTGATTTCTCCTGGATTGGTCTCTTGTGCCTTATTTAATTCAATTTGTGAGTTAATGTTTTCCTGAATTATCTTTATACTTGTCGGTGTTTGTGTCTAGTTATTAAAGAGTTGATTATTTATTATTGTCTTCATGGTTTGGTCTTGTTTGTACCTTCTTTCTTTTTTGGAAGGCTTTCAGATATTCTAAAGGACTTGGGCTTTGTGATTTAAGTTCTATCTGCTTTAATGGGAACCTCAAGCCCAGTAGTGCTGTGTTTATTATGGACTCATAGAGATACCTTTCTGATAGTTTTGGACAAGATATGGGAGAGTTCTCTGGATTACCATACTGAGACTCTTGTTCTTTTCCCTTACCTTCTCCCCCACAAAATAGAGTCTCTTTGTCTGTTCTGAGCCACCTATTACTGGGGGTGGAGTGACAAAAGCAGCCCTATGGCCAACCCCTTAAGACTGTGCTGAATGATAACTGAAGCCAGCACAGCATTGTGTCTCACCCAAGACCTGGTGTAACCACTTCCTGGCTTCCACCCATATTTACTTAATGACCTGGGAATTTACAATCAGCAGTTGGCAAAGTCAGCCGAGTCTGTGTTTTTCCCTTCAAGGCAACGAGGTCCCCTAGGCCTTGAGGAGGTTCTAAGTGCCATCCAGCAGCTAGGGACTAGCTAGGGACTAGAATCTAAAACCTTAGAAGTCTATCTGATGTTCTGTTCTATACTGCAGCAGACCTTCCCATTCTTCCATTCTTCCCTCCCATTTCCAAAGGCAAAGCTGCCTCTTCCTGTGGCCACAGCTACCTCAGCCCCATGTATATAGTACTGCCAGAATAATGACAGTGTACTCTTAAGACCCAAAGGTTTCTTTCTTTCTTTCTTTCTCCTTCCTTCCTTCCTCTTTCTTTCTCCTTCCTTCCTTCCTTCCTCTTTCTTTCTTTCTTTCTTTCTTTCTTTCTTTCTTTCTTTCTTTCTTTCTTTCTTTTCTTTCTTTCTTTCTTTCTTTCTTTCTTTTTCTTTCGACAGGGTCTCACTCTGTCACCCAGGCTGGAGTGCAGTGGCTCAATCTTGGCTCACTGCAACCTCCACCTGCCAGGCTCAAGCCATCCTTCCACCTCAGCCTCCTGAGTAGCTGGGACTACAGGTTGTGCCACCAAGTGCAGACCAAGCTCAGTTAATTTTTGTGTTTTTTTGTAGAAACGGAGTTTCACCATGTTGCCCAGGCTGGTCTTGAACTCCTGAGCTCAAGCAATCTGCCCACCTCAGCCTCACAATTGCTGGGATTACATGTGTGAGCCACCATGCCTAGTCGCCAAGGGTTCTTAAGTTAGTTTTGGTGAATAATACTTGGCCTGGGACTCATTCTTCAGGGAAGTTGACTCCCTTCTGGCCCAGGGCAGGTCCAGAAATGCTGTCCAAGGGCCAAGTCCTCAAATCAGGAACCCTAAGATCCCACTTGGTGCTCCCCCACCCTGTAGCTAAGCTGGTGACTATAGTTCAAGACAAAATTTCCTTTACTTTTCCCTCTGCTTTTCTCAATCTGAAGGAGTCTCTCAGTGTAGTCACCACAGCTCGCAATATGTTGGGTCTCACCTGAAGCCAGCACACTACAGAGTCTCACCCAAGGCCCTCAGTGTACTACCTTGGTATCACTGCTGGTTATTCAGGGCCCAAGGTCTCTTTATTCAGCAGGTGATGGGTTCTGTTAGGTTTGAGCTCTTGCCTTTAAGGAAATTGGTTTCCTTTTGGCTCAGGATATGTCTAGAAACGTTTTTTGGGAGGTAGGGCATGGAATGGTTGCCTCACAACCCTAACCTGTGTTCTGTTCTACAGTGGCTGAGCATGTATCCAAGATGCCAGACAAAGTCCTTTTTACTCTTCTTCCTTTCTCAAGCAGGAGCAAGGGATCTCTTTTGGAGCTGCAAGCTGTGCCACCTGGGGTTGGGAGAGAGGTGGCACAATCCCTCCCTTATCCACCTGGGCTGTTGTCTCAGTGGGTTACATGCCCCTTAAGTCCACTGGCTTTGAGCCCAGCTCTGCACTAGGACTTGCTTAAGGATTGCAGTTCTTGTGGCCTAGGCTTCCTTTCAAGTTTGTTTAGGGCCTCAGATAATTGTAGTCCATGATCATGAAGCTTGCCATAATTAAAGATCTGACTGATGGGAAGGGAGATTTCCCTCTGGCTAGGGTTGGTCTAAATTCTCCCTCTGTAGGCAGGCATCAGTTGCATTCAGCCCGGTTTTCCTTACCGCTGTGACAGGGCAGCACTAAATTCAATGCCAAGTCTCACAATCTCCATGCTGTTTCTCTCCCAAGCCCACAGACTCTCTGTCTACACCACAGTGCTGCTATCACAGGATGGGGCAACGGTGGTGTCAGTGATTAAAAACTGTCTTTCTTACCCTCTTCAGTGCCTCTTTCAGTGATGTGACATTAAAACCAGGTACTCTGAATTCTCACCTTATTTTTGGTTCTTATTAATGTGCTTCTTTTGTGAAGACAGTTGTTGAAGTTGTTGTTCCTGTGTGTGTGTGTGTGTGTGTGTGTGTGGGTAGGGGGATGATAGGTGGATCCTTATATTCAGCCATCTTGCCCAGCCCCCTCTCTAAAAGGTTTTTTTTAGTCAACAGGTGATGAATACTGCCAGGACAGAGTCCTTCCCTTCAAGGTAGTGGGTTCCCTTCTTGCCCGGGTTGTGTATAGAAATGTCATCCAGGAATTAGTGCCTGGAATGGGGGGCCTTGCCACTCTGTCTGGGACCCTATCCTACGTGACTGAGCTGATACACAGCTCTGTTGCAAGACAGATTCCTTTTTACTCTTCTCTCTCCTCTCTTCAAGCAGAAGGATGGTACTCTTGGAGCTGAAGCTCCACCACCTGGTATTGGGGAAAGGGTCATGCAAGCACTTCCTCAGCTGGCCCACACAGGTTGTGTACCTCCCTAGTCCACTGGCTCTAAGCTCAGCACAGCACTAGGAACTACATAAGAATTTCAGTCCTTGTGGCCTAAACTGCCTTTTGAGTTCATTCAGAACCCCAGAGCAATTTAGCCTACAGGGTCAAGGCTTACCAATGTCAATTTTTGAATGTTAAAATGGGAAATTCCCTTCTGGCTAGGGCTGATCTAAATGCTCTCTTTGTGGGTGTTGGTGTTGGCAGCACTAAACTCCCATAATAGCTATGCTTTCCCTCCTGCCAGCACATAGATTCTCTCTCCACACCAGGTGGCTGCTGCCAGGGGATGGGGCAGAGGTGGGGTTGACAATTCAAGACTGTCTTTCCTACCCACTACAGTGCCTATTTCAACATATGAAGTTAAAACTAGGTCTTGTGATTGCTCACCTGATTTTTGATTCTTATGAGTGTACTTTTTGTGTAGATAGTTGTCAAATTTGGTGTTCCTACAGGGAAGACAATTGTTGGAGACTTCCATTGAGTCATCTTGCCCCACCTCATGACCTAGTTTTAAAAGCCAGATCATATTTAACCTATTGTTCTAGGACTTGAAATAGGCTTTTAAAGTTACAGAATACTTACTATCAGGAAATTTATCTTTTAAACTGATTGAAATTTGTTTTGCCATGTTGTTTTTCTGGCTAAATATCTAGGTTTTCCTATCCAAAGTCAAATGCATGTTAACATGAATAAATAGCAGCTTATAGTTTATTATATAAAATATTTCTGCTTTGCAAGTTCTTTAATCCTTAATATAGATATTTTGTGCAACTCTCCCACCTATAATTATCAGCTTTGTACTTTTAGTAGTTTTCTGTTTAAAAAAATCTATAGTTTATTTTTGGTTAAAAAATATATCTGTGTCTCTTAGATGGAAGGTCTTCAGAGTTTTTTCAACTTTCTAGTTCCTGTCAGTGATTGTGTTTCTCTAACTCTTACCTTTCTTTTTCCTTTTCATCTGCATATCTCTTATGTTTACCTTTACTCCGTGCTGACTAGTGCTCCTGGCACCTTTCTATTTCAATGCTTATATTAAAAAAAACTTTATTCCTTATAACATTCCTCTTTAAATTACTATTCTGTTACTATAGACTATAAAACCAATTATAAATTTTTTTGGTTAATGAAAAAATATGGGCAATGACTTCCCAATGGTGTATACCATAAGCTGCTCAGTGGTTAACTTCTTGGTTTTGAGAAAATAAATCATCTTCAGTTCTTCGTTTTGCCTACCTTGGCAGAACCTCATAATTAAAAAATTTGTTTAATTTTGGGGTTATCTAGGTTCTGGTGTTTCCTGAGAATAAGGTACTATCATTGATGCCTTCTTGCCAGATAGTATGATCTCTTGATTTTTCTTATAAAACATAATATATAAGCATACATATCAATAATTCAGGATCTATGGCATAAGTCAGTCACATGGTCTGTTCTAGAAGATGGAGTAGCTCCTTCTACTTTCATACTTAAGATCTAATTTATAAAATATTATTCAGCATATTTCTATGTAACTCTCATGTACTTCATAAAGGAAAAGTACAGAATATACTCTTTGGTATAAATTAATGTAGAGCCTTTTTGACAAACTTATTACCATGCACATATTCAAATATTAAAAGTGAACTAACTGTGTTAAATAGTTGAGCACCTTACTCAAAGGTAAACTACATCACAGTAACGTCATCATTTTCTTAAATAAATCTGTTTTCAAGTGAGATACCTGATCTACTGAAGAAAACATTTTCTTTATTGATTTTTATACAGGCACCTTGACAAAATGACTATATTATCTAGACGGATAAGTGAGTATTCATTACTTTTGAACTATAATTATGTCAAGATTCATTATCTTAGGTGGAACTTGATAGTGTTTAGGAAATCTTATATTCTGCCTCCAAAAAGCAAGCTTGTTAATGGGGAGTAGAATTTATTTGTAATAATATACTCAGATTTGTAGAGGATTATTAAAATGATCTTGAAGAAATAGAAAAAATTAAGAAAAATATAATATTGTGACCATTTAAAAGGTCTTGAGAAAAATAACTCTCTTGGATATGTCTAATGTTTGTGAAAGTATTCTTCATATCTCTTGTAATAAATCTGAAGAGGAGATGTTATCCCATTTTGCAGGTGAGGAAATCAAAGTTTAGAGTTTCCCATTTGTCCCTTGATATTCTGTTCAGTATCTTTTTTTACCACCTTCACAACAGATTTTTTAGTTTGATGACAATTTAATTTTATCTAATTTGACAATGGAGAGCTGGCCACTGCTATTTATGTAACAGCAGAGGGATCAGGTAGTGTTGTTGAAAGTCCTACAAATTCTGCTTTCCATAAAATTTTGAGGGGAATACAGCTCAAGATAGCAGTGCTCATCAGCAAAATGAGTTAATTCATACTCTCATTTAAGGTGAGCTGTACCTAGCAGGGTAATCCCAAAAGGCATTTTAGGATGGTTGAATGTAAATAAGGAAAAATTATAGAAGATTTTCTCTATGTTTTTGATACAAAATCTCGGCCATCATTTGGCAAAGAATAGCAAGGTTTCTTGAATTTGTCTATTCCTTACAATTCTGTATCTTTTTTTCTATACAAAGCCTTCTTTGTGAGGAAACAAAGTGAATAGGTCCATAAAATGTTAGATCACCTTGAAATCTTCTAAAACACTCTATCAGTGACTGTTGTCACCCACTCTTATTAGTCTTTTCTGGAAAAGATCTTAAGACAAATCAGACTAAGAGAATCTCTTCATCTGAAGAAAGAGAAGCTCTGTTGCTATCAGAATGTGGATTTGAGTTTCATGAAGGAATTCAACTTTTCCCCTTTGAAATGACATTTCAAGCATTTCTGGGATGAAATTAGCAGATGCAAACCTATTATGGGTCCAACTACCTTGTCTTCATGTTGTTTAATTATTATGACAACACTGTGAATGAATATTGTTGCTCCCATTTTACATAGGCGAGAACTAAAGTTCTGACAGATAAAGTGACTTTGTCAAAGTAGGTGATAGAGCTGAAACTTGAAATCAGATTTATATGTCTCCAGATCACCTTGGTCTGGTGGCAGAACTGGACTTCATAGTTCACGACTAATAATACTAATAATACTCTGTCATATTTTTGACTGCTCAGTGTATTTATGTTTTATTTTCCTGAGCTGCCTTACTCAGCACAGTAACCCCACAATTTGTAAAGTATAGTAATTGACTTTGTTTTATAAGTGAGAACCCTGAAGATTTGCACAAGATTATACATCCAAGGAGTAACTAAAGCACTATTTTAATGTAAATCTTTCTCTCCCCTCATCCTGTAACCGGTATTATATACCACATGGACCTTATAGAGTGACAGCAGCCATTTAACTGCCTACTGATTTATTTTATTTTATTTTATTTCAGGTTCAGGGGTACATGTGCAGTTTTGTTATATAGGTAAACTTGTGTCCTGGGGGTTAGTTGTACAGATTATTTCATCACCCAGGTACTAAGCATAGTATCCAATAATTATTTTTTTTCTGATCCTCTCCCTCCTCCCACACTCTACCCTCAACTAGGCCACAGTGTCTGTTGTCTCCCTCATTGTGTCCATGAGTTCTCATCATTTAGCTCCCATTTATAAGTGAGAATATATGGTATTCGTTCTGTTTCTACATTAGTTTGCTAAGGATAATGGCCTCCAGCTCCATCCATGTTCCCCAAAACACATGATCTCATTCTTGTTTATAGCTGCATAATATTCCATGGTGTATCTGAACCATATTTTTTTAATTCAATCTGTCATTGATGGACATTTAGGTTTATTCCATGTCTTTGTTATTGTGAATAATGCTGTAATGAACATTCACATGCATGTGTCTTCATAGTAGAAAGATTTATATTCCTTTGGGCATGTACCCAGTACTGGGATTGCTGGGTCAAACTGCAGTTCTGTTTTCAGATCTTTGAGGAATCGCCACATTGTTTTCCGTAATGATTTAACTACTTCACACTCCCATCTACAGTGTATAAGCTTTCCCTTTTCTCCACAAGCTCACCAACATCTGTTATTCTTTGACTTGTTATAGCCATTCTGACTGGTGTAAGGTTGTATCTCATTGGGATTTTGATTTGCATTTCTTTAATGATGAGTGATACTGAGCATTTTTTCATATGCCTCTTGGCTGATGTATGTCTTCTTTTGAAGTGTCTGCTCATGTCCTTTGCCCACTTTTTAATGGGGTTGCTTGCTTTTTACTTGTAAATTTCTTTAAGTTCCTTATAGATGCTACATATTAAAACTTTGTCAGATGTATAATTTGTATTTTTTTCTCATTCTATAGGATGCCTGTTTACTCTGTTGGTAGTTTCTTTCACTGTGTAGAAAATATTAAGTTTAATTACATTTCATTTGTCAAGTTTTGCTTTTGTGGCAATCGCTTTTGGTGTCTTTGTCATGTAATCTTTGCCTATTTCTATGTCCACAATGGTATTGCCTAGGTTGTCCTCTTCGGTTTTTATAGTTTTTGGTTTTACATTTAATTCTTTAACTGACCTTGGAGTTGATTTCTGTATATGGTGTGAGAAAGGTGTCCAATTTCGATCTTCTGCATTTGGCTAGCCAGTTATCGCAGCACCAATCATTCAATAGGGAGTTCTTTCCCCATTGTTTTAAACTGCTTTGTTGAAGATCAAATGGTTGAAGGTGTATGTCATTATTTCTGGGCTCTTTATTCTATTCCATTGGTTTGTGTGTCTATTTTTTGTACCAGTACCATGCTGTTTTGGTTATTGTAGCCCTGTAGTATAGTCTGAAGTTGAGTAGTATGACACCTACAACTTTGTTCTTTTTGCTTAGGATTGCCTTGGCTATTTAGGCTCTTTTTTTTGTTGTTGTTGTTCCATACGAATTCTAAAATAGTTTTTTTTTTCTACTTCTATGAATAGTATCATTGGTAGTTTGATAGGAATAGCATTGAGTCTGTAAATTTCTTTGGGCAGTATGGCCATTTTAATGATGTTGATTCTTTCTAGCTACAAGCACGAGATGTTTTTCCATTTGTTTGTGTCTTCTCTGATTTATTTTAGCAGTGTTTTGTAATTCTCATCGTTGAACTTTCTCCTCTCTGTTCAGCTGTATTCCTAGGTATTTTATTCTTTTTATGTAACTGGTTACTGTTTCTAGAGTTTATTTTCTGCAAACATTGGTAACACTTCTCTTTTTTTTACAAATATTGGTAACATTTGTATCAACCTTCATGTGGTACATGTTAAGCATGCATATGTTGACAAAATATTATTAGAAAAACTGCTCTTTCTACCATCAAATAAAATTTCAAGTACAAGTACTATAAAATGTGAATTATCAATGCAGAATAAGGGTTTTTCTGACTTTTAAATCCAATTTTGAGCAATGTAACCCGAAGTAGTCTGGTTTATTAAAACATTAGTTTATAATGAAAGCCTTTGCATTGAATTCTGTTTTCACCATCACTTAGCAAACTGAATAAGCTATTTAATGTTTCTTTGTTTCACTTTCTTTACCTATAAAATGAGATAGCAACTTTTAGTTCTTTTAAGATTATGATGAGAATTGACTGAAATAATTTATATTAAAGAAACTATCAGCTGAGCATACTGGCTTGTGCCTGTAATCCTGGGTAGTTGGGAGGCTGAGGTGGGGGCATTGCTTGAGACGAGGAGTTTGGGACCAGCCTGGGCTACACAGATAAACACTATCTCATATATTTAGCCAGACCTGGTGCTGTGCATCTGTGGTCTCAGCTATTTGGGAGGCTGAAGTGGGAAGATTACTTGAGCCCAAGAGTTCGAGGCTGCAGTGAGTTATGATTGTGCCACTGCACTCCAGCCTGGGTCAAGACCCCATCTCAATTAATTTTCAAAAACAAAAGTATCATATTGCCAGATATAGTTTATGAGCTCAATGAATATTATTTTGGTGATTCAGTGCAAAATATACTATAATATGTTTGTTTATCATGAATAAAAGAATGGAAAGAGTCACAATTTTATAAAAAGCTTTCTATGTTTGTTGTTTTTGCTTATAATCTTTGTTATCATAGCAATATAAAATAGATAAATGTATCATACATAGTAGGTGTTCATAATATAGACTTATCGACATAATCTAAGCCTAGAGTGTACTACTTTGTAGAAATTTTTTGATAATTAAATGATACATGTACAAATATGTTTTACATAAAATGTGAATCTATACATAGATGTAAACTATTATTAATTGTTTAGTTATCGTAATATTGTTTTAAATAACCAAATAGATATATGTGATAATTTGCAAATTTAAAAGACAGTGTTTTGAGTTACAGACTTTTCATGAGTAGTTTTATCTTTTTATGCTTTACATTAGATTTCCTACAATTGCCTTATTTTTTTCTAACTCTCAATTCTACTGTGGTTACTTAAAAATGCACTCAGTTTTAAAATAGAAAGTTTTGAGAATTTGGGGAAGGAAGAAGAATTTATACTTGCTTATTTATATAAACTACATTGGCTACCACACTAGAATTGGCTCTTACCATGACTTAGGTTCAGTTCTTGCTTTTTAAACACCATAGTCTTGCTTTTTAAACACAAAATCTCATGTATTTTCTCCCATATAGTCCAGCTATTCATATCAACTTGCAATTTTCTGTGAAAATACACTTGTTAGTCTAAAATGAATTTTGCCAATTGGAATTTTTTAACAATGTTTGCACAGAAATTTAATCATCAATTATAGCCAAGATCCTATAATTATTTTTGTAAATAAGAGAGAAGATGAAATATTCAAATGCCTGTTTGAGTAGGTCTTCCCACAACCCTACCACATAAAGGCACAAAATAACTCTATGTAAAAATTACCTTTGAAAAAGCCATGTCTACTGTAGTTGAATATCTATGGTTTAGACTTGGGCAGCTGCCCTATGTAATATTTTATCTTCTTTATTTTCTTCTTTCTTGCAACTAAAAAAACCTTTAACCCAGTATTCCTGAAGCCAGAAAAAACAAATCAAGGCTAATATTCTCATGTGAATTTTTTAATGACATAAGTAGGGACAAGAGCGGATATAGCAGAAATGATTTTAATGTAGTGTAACATATACCAATTTATTGACCCCAAGATTTTTCTATTTATAAGGAAGTAACTATTCTGAAAATTGTCCTATGAACTCTGTGGCATTAACAATGAACTCTTGAGATTTCTTCAAGCCATAGATCTTGACTGACAGTGCTATTAAATAAACCATGGTCCTTAGAATTACAGATACTGCATAATACTGACCTATCATCTTTTTCCCACGCAAACTGTGCAAGTGAATTGCTGAATGAACAGGAAGGGGCACTATCAGTTGTTCTTGGGGCAGATAATATGGCATTTCATCTAGTTACTGTACCATGAAATGTTGCATTACAATCACTCTGATAATTTAATGACATTTAAGAAATGAAAATGCTTAGAGTTGTGCTATATAGGCAAACATTAAATGCTTACACTACAAAGCCATTATACACGAAGAGACTACAATGCAGTTGTTAGGTAGATGCCAATTTTTCCTGGGAAAAAAATTACAGCAAACTTAAAATATGTTTCTTTTTAATTCAGTGACTTCTCTACCTAGATTGCAAACTTTAAATTAACCCTGATTGAGATGGGAAACCTAGCCATGACTGTTTGAAGGATGCCTTTTCAAACTTATTCTATTACAAATATCCACAGTATTATTTAAAGTGGCTAACTTTTATTTTATTTAGGCCTTAAGTTACTGAAATACTTTGTTACTGTTGGTAGTAAAGGCAAGGTGGTTCCAGTGAACTGTTAACTAGTCCTTTATGGCCATAACTTTTAAAGTGGAGAAGTTAGTTGCCTTAAAGTTGTACATAGAAAAAGGCCGTGAACTAGGATGGTATCTTCTCTTTATATCAGGTAACAAACTGCTGAGGCTCTCAGTTGTGCTTAGTTCCCCATCACTTTAGGACTAGAGTCGGGGAATTGGTTTTGAAACATGGGGAATATTTTTTCCTTTTCCGTGGTTATCACGGACAGCAGCTTTCCCTGGCTTTCTCACACTGACACTCATGAAGAAAAGCATGAGAGACGATAACTGCTAAAATATCCTCAGTATTCCCCTAACATATTGGTCCATTTTCTCTCTGAAACTGGAATGCCAAACATATTGTAAATCCTCTGAGTCTCAAACATATTTTAATCTGAGCCTTCTATCCTTAGGACATATAAATTTTGATTTATTCCAGAGAACAGTAACATAGTTCTTTTATTAGTTTCTCCATTGTGCCTTTTGTTTGTGATTGAGAGACTGTGGAAGGGCTGAGAGCTGGGGACTGAGTAGTGGGAGCAGTGCAGGAGGGGAATAAATGCCACTAAATAATCTTTTGACAAGCAAATAAAACAAAAAAAAAAAAGGAGAGAAAGAGGATATATTAATCTACCCCGTGTTTTTCAAAGACAAGTAGATTCGAGAGGATCTCTGCTTCTGGGAAGTTCTCTGTTTTCAGTATAGAGAGTCCTTAATCTTTGTGATTGACATCCCTCTTTTTAGAAGCTAGTGTGACATAAGAATTATGGGTCTGTCTTTTAATACAGTTGAAATATTTAAAATATGTTAAGAAAAGACTACTACTTTTAATAATTCCTTTGGGCTTTTTCCATTTTCTTCTAAAAACATTTATTAATCTATTAATTTGGAAACTCCAGTTTCTCATTAGGATCACTGAGCTTTGTGGTGATCATTTGTATTTAAAAATACATTGAGTAAAGTCTTTTGATAATATATGAGAAGGTGTCTTCTAGAAAGCTCTAGTTCTAATTTTTTTCAAATCATTACAAGATGTAGATACTTAGAGACAGCTTGCACCTGCAAAGAAAAGTGGCACAGTGAGACAGTTATTAGGATCATTGAAGAAATAAGACACAATACCCTAAACTTTCACAGTGGTAATTTGTAAACATTAGACAAAACATAATTTGGGGAGGCATGAATTATCCAGACAAGTGCTTGATAAATTAAGTGGTATAACTCTTCCCCTATATCTCAGTCCCTCATACTGGATTATATAAGCCTAACTAATTTATTGCTCTAGTTTTGATAATGATTTAATTCATGGAACTATAAAAGAACTTTTTTGGTTCCAGAATTTTAATAATAAAAAAAAAAGAAGAATAGAACTTTCGAGTTAGATTAAAGCTTTGTTCAATTCTCTGCCTTATTACTTATTCACCATGTGATCTTGCACATGCTAGTCAGTCTCTCTTGCCTTTGCTTTCCTCATCTGTATAATTGGCATAATAGTTCTTGCATTTTCATAGAGTTGTTTTGAAGATCAAATAAGATCATGTATTTGAAGTTTTGAAACAGTGCTTGACATACAGCAGTGGGTGTCCAATAATAGTTCTCATTTTTTCTCTTACATTGGCTCTGTCCAGTGATGACCTAAAGTAGCAAACTGTTGTTTTAGTTCATGGAAAATGTACATTCAAAATAATGTAGCTTAAAATTAAGAAGGCTCTTTGCCATTTACAAATTTAGTGACTTCAGTGCTGATTTTCTTTCAAGAACGTTTCATAGGAATTAGTTTTTCAGCTCCCTTTCATATTTTTGGAAAATCTAGTGTGTATATCATATAATAGTGGTATTTATGAATGAAAAAAACTTGTTTACAACTAATACTGCAATACCAGTTTAGAAAACAGGGATCTGCTTTACTAAACTTTGCTAAATGCCAAAGTAATACATAGCTATTAAAACCTCAAGAAAAAAAAGACAATTCCTTTCAGCCACAATATCACCTAAAACTAAAGTATTATAAAAGCTAAACAATGCCAAGTGAATTTTGCTGAGATCAAAAGTCAAACCTATTTATTTATTTTATTTCATTTTCAGTGTTTCTTTTCCTAGGACTATCACCTTAGTCAAACATCTACTAGAGTTAGCTTTTGATCTCAGCCTTCTTTTGGGGTAAAAAGGAAGTCAATCTTCAATTTTTTTCTTCTAGAGACAGTCACTCTATTGTGTTTTAATGTTCCAATAGTGTGTGAGTAAATAAGATTCTCTGACATATGTGATAGAAGACTGGTTAAATGGGACAATCATTTTTGTGTAAGAGACAAGAATCAAAAGGAAGCATTCTTCACAAGCTATTAACTGAAAAAAAATCCCCTCAGGTCAGTGGAAATATGTTAAATGGTCAGTCTTCTGCCTTTTTAGGTCTTTTGATGAAAATGCCTTGTAATTTGATAACAGATAGTTGCTCATTAGTAATATAATTTTCTCCTTACCATTCATAGTTACTCCATGATCAATCAGGAGAAAATATTTCTTTTAACCTAGATATTTTGCTTAAAAACTTTGTTTAAAATGTCTTAATATCTCTAGAAAGGATCATGCATTTTTCATTCTTCTTGTCATAGATTAATCAAACTATAGGGAAATTTTCATGATATATTAAAGACACAAGAGACATGACAACACATGATGATTACAGTTGAATTAAAAAGAAAAAAAACTGGTGTTTGATGGCAGTGAAGGTATGTTTGTGAGTACTATTAACACATGTGTATGACTACATTCTAACTATTGAAGATCTTTATATCACCTTTACTAAATCTATTTTATTAAATGGTAAATTCATTAGGCAGGTATTTATCAAGTACTGCCCACCTGGGAAAGACCTCTCTAGGTCATACTGTGAGTACAAAGCTGAGTAAGACATAGTCAATGACCTATAGCAGACTTCACAGCCTTTCTCTGAGTTGAGAAAATGAGACCTATGTGTAGACATAATTATAATAAAAGGCAAAAAACCCATATTTATAAGCATACATATGTTTGTGTAAATATGTCTATGTGATATAGGGACATTCAAAGATGAGAATAATTATTAACAGTTGTGGGAATTAAAGAAAATATTTGGTGTTGATGGCATTTAATTTGTGCCTTAAAGATTGGTTAAGTTGCAGTTGGCAAAACAGGGATAAAAGCATTTCAGGGGAAAGTGGCAATGGTCTGAACACAAGCAAATATTAATACCAAGTTTTTTTGGGAAACAGAGGGTTCAGTCTAGCTAGAATAGTGGGTTTGTGATGGAAAAAAAAGGAGCTCTGTCTGAAGATGGGTGGGGATAGATTATTGGAGATTGTAACTCCCATATTAAAAGTTTTGAACTTTATTCTACAGGAAGTATCAAACCACAAAACACTTTTTTGTAGGTGAGCAATGTGAAGATACTCCTCTTTACAAGAATGTCACTATTAAGAGAATATAACATAGACTGGAAAGGCAAAGAGTTAGAGGCAGAGAGATCACTCAGGAAGTTCTTCAAGTAGTCTAGCTGAGAAAGAATACAGACCTATTAAAAAGTGGCGGCCGGGCGCGGTGGCTCACGCCTGTAATCCCAGCACTTTGGGAGGCCGAGACGGGCGGATCACGAGGTCAGGAGATCGAGACCATCCTGGCTAACACGGTGAAACCCCGTCTCTACTAAAAATACAAAAATTAGCCGGGCATGGTGGCGCGTGCCTGTAGTCCCAGCTACACAGGAGGCTGAGGCAGGAGAATGGCGTGAACCCGGGAGGCGGAGCTTGCAGTGAGTCGAGATCGCGCCACTGCACTCCAGCCTGGGCGACAGAGCGAAACTCCGTCTCAAAAAAACAAAACAAAAAAAAAAAAAAAAAAAAAAGTGGCTGTGCAGTTCATATTTCTTTTTATAGAGTCAATAAATCTCCTTTAGACTTACAATGTATAACTCTGAAGTAATGCTATTTAAACCTGCTTTGGAAAATAAATGTGTTTGAAATTACTAGTAGCAGGATTTCAAACTAAAAAATAAAGTGTACTTTATCTATACATTCCTATCAGTTCATGTAGAACTTTCTAACATTCCTATGCTTCCGATTCAATTGCAACCAAGCAGATCATATTGCTTTTTTAAAAAATGTGTTTATCTTACATGAGGTACATGGCAATTTAAAAAAATGGCACATAAACTATACTAAGATTCTGTGTTTCTTAAAAGCAAAAAGAAGAGAGTAATAACTGGTTAAGAGAAAGTATAATTTGACAAAAAGTTGAAAGGGGTTCATTATTAGGATCACAAACAGAAGGAATGGTGGTATAGATCACCTGGAAATTATACCTTTGACTTTGGAAAGCTCATGATTTATGCCAATCTGTTTGAACAAGTTAAGAAGTTACCACAGTCTTTCAGGAAACACAGTCTTCCAACAATATCCAAGATCTAGGAGGACAAAATGGGAAAAGGAAGAAATCATTGAAATGAAAGGGAGTAAACAGAACATAGTTTAGTAAACTATTATCTAGGGTGATGTTTCTGTTCTCATTTTATTGGTTCTGAACATATACGGTCATATTCATGGCAAAAATACCCATGGAAATTCTCAAAGCTACAAAAGATGGAGTGCCTTTTCTCATCACCAAGATGGTATAGTGTTACTAGCATTGTGCTGGGCCAACCCATCCTCATCTACCTCCCAGCTGTGTATGTTTGCTTATCTCTAGCATAGCAGTTTTAAGGTCAGACATATTATTACAAAAATGTTTCAAATTCTGACTGAAAAAAAAGGTAGGAGAAAGATAAATTTCTTTATGGATTCTGTTTAATTTGACCCATTTGAGTTAGTATGCCCGTTAGCAACCTCAAGATATTGGTTCCAAACAGAAAAATGGTTTGTATCTCTTTTGGAATTTATTGTTAATAGGACTGTGACAGAATTCAGGAAACCAGAAAGAATATTCTACCTTACAAATCATTCAACTATCCCATATCTCTATACAAAAACCTTCTTAGTGTGTGTGTGTGTGTGTGTGTGTGTGTGTGTGTGTGTGTGTGTGTGTGTTAGGGGTGGGTTTCTCTTTCCTCTATTAATAACCTGGCATAAATTATTTAATGGAGAAGTATTTTTCTATTAACCAAGAACTACCTTGCATATATCAGATAATGACACTTTTGAGCAGGATGAGTTGGTATCAGAATTTTCCTTTGCACCTATTTTTCTACTGAGCCATTATGAAATACTGTATGTGTGTAATTCAAACATGTCATTTGAGTGTCCTAACTGATAGTAATATGCTCCACAGAAATTTTAGGAGAAAATTATGCCTATTGTATATTTTCTTAGTGTTAGAGGCAATACCCTAAACCCCACTGTATTAGTCTCTTCTGATGCTGTTAATAAAGACATACCCAAGACTGGCTAATTTATAAAGGAAAGAGGTTTAATTGACTCACAGTTCCACATGGCTAGGGAGGCCTCACCATTATGGAAGAAGGCAAATTAGGAGCAAAGTCACCTCTTACATGGCAGCAAGCAAGAGAGAGTTTGTGTAGGGGAGCTCCCCTTTGTAAAACCATCAGATCTCGTAAGACTTATTCACTATCACGAGAACAGCATGGGAAAACCCCACCCCATTGATTCAATTACCTCCCACCAGGTCTTCCCCATGACATGTGGGGATTATGGGAGCTACAATTCAAGATGGGATTTCAGTGGGGACACAGCCAAACCATATTATTCCACCCCTAGTCCCTCCCAAATCTCATGTCCTCACATTTCAATACCAATTATGTCTGCCCAACAGTCCCCCAAAGTCTTGACTCATTTCTACATTAACTTAAAAGTCCACAGTCCAAAGTCTCATCTGAGACAAGGCAAGTCCCTTCCACCTATGAACCTGTAAAATCAAAAGCAAGTTAGTTACTTGCTACATACAATGGAGGTACAGGAATTGGGTAAAACACACATTCCAAATGGGAGAAATTGGCCAAATCAAAGAGGCTACAAGCCTTTTGCAAGTCTGAAATCCAGCAGGGCAATCAAATCTTAAAGCTCTTAAATGATCTCCTTTGACTTGATGTTTCATATCCAGGTCATGCTGATGCAAGAGGTGGGTTCCCATGATCTTGGGCAGCTCCACCCCTGTGGCTCACAGGGTATAGCCCCACTCCTGGCTACTTTCATGGGCTGGTGTTGAGTGTCTGTGGCTTTTCCAGGCACATGGTGCAAGCTGTCAGTGGAACTACTATTCTGGAGACTGGAGGACAGTGGCTCTCTGCTCAGTGTTCCACTGGGCAGTGCACTGGTGGGGACTCTGTGTGGGGGATCCCACCCCCCATTTCCCTTCTGCACTGCCCTAGTAGTACATGTTCTCCATGAGAGCCCTGCCCCTGCAGCAAGCTTCTGTCTAGACATCCAGGAGCTTCTGTACATCCTCTGAAATCTAGGTGGAGGTTCCCAAACCTCAGTTCTTGACTTCTGGGCACCCAGAGGCTTAACATCATGTGGAAGCCACAAAGGCTTGGGGCTTGCATCTTCTGAAGCAACAGCCTGAGCTGTATGTTGGTCACTTTTAGTCATAGCTGAGATGCAGGGCACCAAGTCTGAAGAGTGCACAAAGCAGGAAGGCCCTGGGCCCTGCCCAGGAAACCATTTTAACCTGCTAGGCCTCCTGGCTTGTGATGGGAGGGGCTGCTGGGAAGACCTCTGACATGTCCTGGAGACATTTTTCCCATTATCTTGGTGATTTACATTTGCCTCCTTCTTACTTATGCAAATTTCCGCAGCTGGCTTGAATTTCTCTCAGAAAGTGTTTTTTTCTTTCTATCACATCATCAGGCTGCAATTTTGTTAAACTTTTATGCTCTGCTTCTCTTTTGAACATAAGTTCCAATTCCAAACATATCCTTGTGAATACATAAAACTGAATGCCTTTAAGAGCACCCAAGTCATATCTTGAATGCTTTGCTGCTTCAAAATTTCTTCCTCCAGATACCCTAAATCATCTATTTCAACTTCAATGTTCCACAGATCTGTAGGGCAGTGGCAAAATACTGCCAGTTTCTTTGCTAAAGTATAGCAAGAGTCACCTTTATTCTAGTTTTTAATAAGTTTCTCATCTCCATCTGAGACCGCCTTAGCCTAGGTTTTATTGTATCTATTTATATGATATCCATCTTTTCTTGTCACATAACAATTGTTCATGTTGTTGTTGGTTGTTTCAGGTAGCTTCTAGTACAATAACTATACATTCCGATAGTTAATAGAAACATAGTTTTTGATATTTGTATCTCAAAACATGTGGATATATAATTAAATATTATTGTTATAATAAGCTTAATTTAGGTACTGTCTAAATCTCTTGTTTCTGGAGGTTGAGAATCAGTCTCTTAAAAGTGGTAGATTATAAGCAATTAGGATTCACATTTCTTTACATATTATTCAAATGCAAACCTCTGAAATGTGATTACAAGTCTATTCATACATTTATATCAATACATCTATATTTAATTTTATGTACTCATTAAATTGAGAATGACAAGTTCTGTCACAAAGTTTTCACATAATTGTGTTCACTATATCATATTGCTTTGCTTTCTAAAACAGATGCTTGATGTATTTGGCTTCAGTAAATATAAGCATAAACTGATGATAAAGAATGAAACCATCAGACAGTCAAAGAGTAAAACAAAGGCAAACACTTTCAGTGTTTGAGTGAACCATCTTTGTCCCTGTGCACTTCTCACTTTTGTTGTTATGTCTTAACAGGATAGTCAGGCAGAATGTGATTGTGAAGAGAACGTAAAGTAGACCGCTTCTAGAGAAGCATACTTACCTACCAGCATTGGGCTAATAGCCCTTTTTCCTCCTCCTGCTGTTGTCCCTTCTGAACATGCATTTTGTTATTCTGCAGTCATTTCCTGGGCATCACCATGGACTCACTACTGTGTCAGGCAACAGGGAATACAAAAGATAAGAATAATACATTTCTAGTTTATGGTAGTAAGCACCTTACAGCCTTGGTAAGGGTGACATTTTTAACATATAAAATTAATAAATGATTAGTTCATTTTGGTTATTTTGGAAGTATTTCATTCCACTTAGATTCTCTGAAGTTTAGCAGTGGATTGAACCTCATTTTAAAGACATGAACATTGATTCTTAAGATAAAGTGACTCAGATAGGCATACAGGTAGCTATAGATAAATGCAGTTTTAATATCCAGACTTTATGATTCCTCAGTCAGTATTCTTTACATCATAATTCGGGCTAGACAAACACTATCCTCGCTGTTTTCTCAGGTCTTTCTTGATGTTATGAATTACACGTTTAATTATCATAAATATGTTGCAAGCAACATTAAAAATGCAGCTTTTTAGACCAATTAACATTTCTGGATGTATTGCTGGATTCTTTGTCCTTCATTTAAGTAGTATACACATATTTAAAACACAAAATATCACAATGTTGAATAAAAACAACAAAGAATCATAGTAGTTGCTCTCTGCAGCAACAGAGCATGACACTGGTTGAGAATCACTATTCTGAAGAGTGGAGAATTGATTGCACTGTTGATTATCTGGCATTTATGTGGTATATCCAAGGGAAGACTGGCTACTGAAAAGCCACAAGAGAAGTGATCTTTAGGAAGCCAATTACCTTTCTGGAAAGTGGTTCATTATTGAGATTTAATATTCTCCTACTGGCAGTTTGATATCTTTTAACAAGTACAAAACACATTTGAATTTTCATTAGCTGCTACACAGAAGTTAGCACTACAATTTAATTTTAGACTAAAATATATTATTGAATTTGAGGTTAATTTCCCATTTATTCTACTTATAGAGAGAAATTTATTGTACTGTATTTTGCCAAGTATTGCTGGTTTTCTACACAGACAGAACTGCCTTTCTAAAAAACAGGACTATGTGTTGCTGCTAGTTTTCTTGCGTTCCCAGCATTTCAGGTAGTCTTCCTGCATTTCTGGGCTAACTAGGCATGGAAAGAGTCACTCTTGGCCCAATGTCAGAAATTAGGAGTGTTTTGTCGCCTCTAGTCCATATCTAATGCACACTCTCTCCTAGAGTCACAATGGTATTTGCTGGTCATACCACTTCTGGTATTCTGATTTAGATATCATAGTCCTGTGGCAAGTCAGGGCTGGAAATTCCTTAAAAATGATCTTGAAACATCCAGTAATACTCTATAAAAATGCTCAAATAAGTCACCCTAGGGCAGAGTGCAACTTACTGGAATTTGTATATAGTATTAATAATTCTTATGGCTCAAATTTTCTTAAACAAGAAGATTGTCTATTCAGTGGTACCAGAAAGACAATTAATAATTCTCTTAATTATAATGTATAAAAAGAGGAAACATTTAAAATTTAAAATATCACCAGTGGGCTGGGTTCGGTGGCTCATGCCTCTAATCTTAGCACTTTGGGAAACTGAGGTGGTTGGATCACTTGAGCTCAGAAGTTCAAGACCAGCCTGAGCAATATGGTGAAACCCTATCTCTGCAGAATAAAAAAAAAAAAATTAGCCAGGCTTAGTGTCACATGCCTGTAGTCTCAGGAGGCTGAGGTGGGAGGATCCATTGAGTCTGGGGTGGTTGAGGTTGAACTGTGATTGTGCCACTGCACTCCAGCCTGAGCAACAGAGCGAGACCCTGTCTCAAAAATAATAATAATAATGATAAATGATAAAAATAAATTACCAACAGACAAGTATAACTCATGATTACCCAATGAGAGAACAGATGAACTTTATATAAATTTTAAGAAATCCTGATATCAATATACAGCTTAAATTCAAATTCAGAAAATAATAGTATCCAGGCAGATGAAGTTGAGCTTATATCCTTTGTTAAAAGAAATAGATTTAGTGCAGCATTTCTCAAACTGTGTTCTACAGAGTTTTAGTATCTTTAGCTCAAATAATAGGTATTCCATTTTATGCCTCTTTTGGAAATTCATTAAAATATTACATGTGTAAAGCTTTGAAAAAACTGCCATTAAAAAAACCTGGAGTACCTGGGTTTAAACCCCAATTTCAAGATTTATTAGCTGTATGACATTAGACAAGTTATTCAGTTTCTGTCTTGGTTTACCGATCTGAGAAATGGAAATAGTAATGTTATTACCCTCTTAAGGTTGCTTTGAATTATATATATATATATACACACATACATATACACATATATATACACATATATATATACACACATATATATATATGAACGAGAGAGAGCTTGTGGCATATGATAAGTGCTAGGTAAGGTTTTTATTAACTCATTGTTACCTAATTTGGCCTGGGAAGTTTCTCACCCAATTTCTCCATTTTTAAATAGATGCTCTTTTAACATTTTGTGGAACAAGTAGTCAAATGAAAAGTAGTTTGGAAAAAGTTGATATAAGACAGGTTCTGTATAGTGCTTCTCTTTTGCTTTTAATCTTTTAACAATAGATGTAATAGGAGTGTCTGAAGAGCTTATTAAACTTTTTTTTTTTTTAACTGAGTCTTGCTCTGTCGCCCAGGCTGGAGTGCAGTGGCGTGATCTCAGCTCACTGCAACTTCCGCCTCCTGGGTTTAAGCGATTCTCCTGCCTCAGCCTCCAGAGTAGCTTGGATTACAGACACCTGAAGTGCCTGTTATGCATTTTCAGAAAGGTAACTGCAAATTCACTGCCTGATTGTGCATCCTCCAACTGTTGTTTTGGTGAGGCAAGTGGAACTTTAGCACAGATTGAGTGTATTCTCTCTTAATATCTATCTGTAACTCAACAGATATTTGCAAAATATAGTCAACTTCTAGTGCTCACATCACATTCACTGACGTGTAGCAAAATGCAGCTCCTCTTGAATATTTTGAGATCCTTCCAAAGCTGTATTTTGTCAACTTTTCCCTCACAGCCAAAGAATTGAACTAAATTTTAATCTTTTGTCTATCCATGAATGGTGATACTTAAGAACCACCGGAATTTTTGTTCTTCATTTGTTTAGCCTATAACTACCTTCATGTGGTTTCTTTGCTCTTTCAGTCTCCAGTATTTTTCTGAGTAGGATTCAGAGCCTAGGCATCTACTGAAAATAAACCCAAATACTACCTCTATTTGGAAAGATTTGCATCTTCCCAGTTGATTTGTAGAGAATTTCTAAATTGTTTCCAGTAGATTCAATGTGATATATAACATTAACATTTCATACCACCAGCTGTTTTATTAATAACATTTTGATACATCATATATGACCCAAAGCAGCTTTGATTGCAATAACAAGCAAGCTAACACATGGTACTTGACAGATAGACTGAAATAATATGGCAGATCTAAACTGCTTTTCATTTTTGGAGGGATATTATCATTTGCAATGCCTTGACTGTTAATTTAATTGTGTTATTTTTAAAATATAAAACCATATTTCAGTGAACTGACTCACCATTACATTTAGTTAATTGTAAACCTCAAGATTTGATTACTCATAGTTCTCCCTTGGTTAATTTACTTGCTCACAGTATTGACAGAAAACATTTCAAACTAATATGATGGGAAGGACATAGTTCACATCACTGTAGGAACCCAAAGTTACCAAACTTTTTTGGTTCTTTTCCTTGTAAATTGTATTGCAAGCCATCATTTTTTTTTCACACACTGGTAGTTTAAGGACTGTAGATCACATAAAGTTGTAAATCAAATCCTTGCTTACTAGTGAGAAAGGAGTACAGGATAAACTTTGTTTTAGAGCATGCATGAATGATTAAAAAAACAATTTCAGAAAACTATCTAGTACAAAGCAAATCTAGACAGAATCATTGCTTCATAAAGGACCTTAAGGACAATCTGGCTGAATTCCATTTTGCACATGAATAAACTGAAGTCCAGAAAAGTTATATGATGCAATTTCTCCTTTATTCTGGTCAGTGACATATAAAGTATCTCTGCGAATCCATTTTAGAGAGTTTTAAATAAGTTCAAATCAAGATTATGAATTTTGGTATTAGTAAAGAAAGCACTCAGGCAAAAAGGCTTCATTACCTCCATTTGGCATGGAACGCCATCCAATTATATGAAGTTTTCCATTTTGTGTGGACTTTATAACTCTACCACTGACTGACTGCGTTATCTTTAGCCCCTGCTTCACTTTTCCACTCTAGACTTAGAGTTTTGCATTTATAAAATGGAGGGATTGATTTAGATGTTTATTAAAGTTATCGTAACACTTAAGAACTTCTCTCAACATTCTAAGCCTCAAGTTGGACCTAATATACATGCCAACAATTATAACAGTCATACACATGCACACACACACACACACACACACACACACACACGGGTTATTTTTCAAACTATTATGTTGAATTCTAAGTTAAGAAGAGGATGTAGAAAGAATACACAATGGGGACAAGGTAGTCCCTCCAATACATGGTGGGAAAACTTGGTATTCACTTCAGAGAATGAAGTTGGACCTTTCAGCAAACACAAAACTCAACTCACAATGAATTAAAGATAGCCTCAATAAATTGTTTAAAATTGAAATCATATCAAGTATTTTCTCAGACCTCAGAGAAAACTAGAAATCAACACCAAGAGGAATTCTAGAAGCTATACATATACCTGGAAATTAAACAAAATGCTCCTGAGAGTTCTTTGGGTCAATGACAAAATTATGATGGAAATTAAAAACTTTTCTAAAACAAAAATGAAGATGCAATATACTAAAACCTATAGGATACAGCAAAGGCACTGCTAAGAGAGAAATTTATAGAGTTAAATTCCTACATCAAAAAAAAAATCACAAATTAATAACCAAATGTTGCACCTCAAGAAACTAGAAAAAGAAGAGCAAACCAAACTCCCAACCCAAAGCTAGCCAAAACAAACAAACAAACAAACAAAACAAACAAAAACAGAGATTAGAGTGAACTAAATGAAATAAAGACCAAAAAAATACAAATGATAAAGGAAATGAAATGTTGGTTATTTGAAAGATAAACAAAATGGATAAAGCTCTAGTTGGACAAACTAAGAAGAGAGAAGATCCAAATAAACATAATTAAAAATGAAAAAGAGACATTACTAATGGTACCACAGAGATACAAAAGATCGTTAGAGACTACTATGAAGGAATATAATACACTCGCAAATTAAAAAACAGAGAAATTGGATAAATTCTTGTAAATATACAACCTCCAAATATTGAACAAGGAAGAAATGCTGGACAGACCAATAATAAGCTGTAAGATTTAATCAGTAATAATTAAAAACAATCTCGCGACACACACAAAAAAATCCTGGGACTAGATAAATTCACGGACGAATTCTACCAGACATGCATAGAAGAACTGGTACCAATCCTCCTAAAACTCTTTCAAAGTATCTAAAATGAAGGAATAATCCCTAACTCCTTCTACAAGGCCAGTATTTCCTGAATTCCGAAGACAGACAAGCACACAACTAAAAAAGGAAAACTACAGGCCAATATCCCCAATGAACATAGATACAAAAACCCTCAATAAAATACTAGCAAACCAAATCCAACAACACAGCTAAAAGAAGCAGAACTAAATGGTAATACACCATGACCAAGTGGTTTTTACACAAGAGATGGAAGCATGGTACAACATACCTGAATCAATAAATGTGATTCACCATATTAACAGAATTAAAAACAAAAACAACATGACCATTTCAATAGAAGCAGAAAAACGCATTTGATAAAATTCAGCATCCTTTCATAATAAAAACCCTCAACAAATGAGACTGGGTAATTTATGAAGAGAAGAGGTTTAATTGACTCACAGTTAACACAGGCTGTACAGGAAGCATTACTAGGAGGCCATAGGAAACTTACAATCATGGTGGAAGATGAAGGGGAAGCAAGCATTTCTTACCATGGCTCAGCAGGAGAGAGAGAGCAAGTGAAGGGGGAAGTGCCACACACCTTTAAACCATCTGATCTCATGAGAACTCACTCACTATCAGGAGAATGGCAAGCGGAAAATTCACCCCCATTATCCAATCACCTCCCACCACCACTTCCTCCAATTTGACATGAGGTTTGGGCGGGGAGACAAATCGAAACCATATCAACATAGAACATACATCAAAATAATAAAAGCAATACATAACAAACTTACAGCCAACAACATATTGAATGGGGAAAAGATGAAAGCAATCCTCCTAAGAACTAGAATAAGACAAGGATGCCCACTTTCACCCCTTCTACTCAACATATTACTGAAAATTCTAGCCAGAGCAACTAGACAAGAGAAAGAAATAAAAGACATTAAAATTGGAAACAGGGAAGTCAAATTGGTCCACTTTGAAGATGACATGATCTTATATTTAGAATACCAAAAGACTCCACCAAAAAACTCAGATTTCATAAATGAATTTAGTATATTTTCAGGACACAAAATCAAGGTATGAAAATCAGTGGCATTTGTGTACACCAACAACAATCAAGCTGAGAACCAAATTAATCCCATTTATAATAGCTACAAAAATTAAAATACCTAGGAATATATTTAACCAAGAAAATGAAAGATCTGTAAAAGAAAACTACAAAACATGGATGAAAGAAATTGTAGAGGACAAAAACAAATGAAAATATATACCATGCTCATGAATTAGAAGAATTAATGTAATCAAAATGACAGTACTGCCCAAAGCAATCTACAGATTCCCTGCAATCTTTATCAAAATATCAAAGTCTCATAGCTGAATTACACTAGATATAAAAAGAAGAGCTGGTACCATGCCCACTGAAAATATTCCCCCAAAAAATTGAGAAGGAGGGACTCCTCCCTAACTTATTCTATAAGGCCAGCATTATCCTGATGCCAAAACCTGGTAGAGACATAACGAAAGAAGAAAACTTCAGGCTAATACCTTTGAGGAACATCAGATGCAAACATCCTCAACAAAATACTGGCAAAACAAATTCTACAGCACATCAAAAAGCTTATCTACCTCAATCAAGTAGGCTTTATTCCTGGGATGCAAGGTTGCTTCAACATGCACAAATCAATAAATGTGACTCATCATATAAACAGAACTGATGACAAAACCAGATGATTATCTCAATAGATGCAGAAAAGGCTTTGGATAAAATTTAACACTCCATAGTGTTAAAAAAAAAAAAAAAAAAACCTCTCAAACTAGGTATTGAAGGAGCATACCTCAAAATAGTAAGAGACATCTATGACAAACCCACAGCCAACATCATACTTAATGGTTAAAAGCCAGAAGCATTCCCCTTGAAAACTGGCACAAGACAAGAATGCCCTCTCTCACCACTCCTAGTCAGCATAATATTGGAAGTGCTGGGTAGAGCAATCAATCAAGAGAAAGAAAGAAACTGCATGCCAATAGAAAGAGAGGAGGTCAAGCAATCTCTGTTTGCAGATGACATGATCCTATATCTAGAAAACCCCATAGTCTTGGCCCAAAAGCTCCTTAAGCTAATAAACAACTTCAATGAAGTCTCAAAATACAAAATCAATGCATAAAAATTACTAACATTCCTATACACCAACAACAGTCAAATTGAGAATCAAATCATGAACACAGTCTCATTCACAATTGCCACAAAAAGTATAAAATTCCTAGGAATACAGCTAACCAGGGAAGTGTAAGATCCCTGTAGGAAGAACTACTGAACACTGCCCAAAGAAATCAGAGATGACACAAACAAATGGAAAAACATCCCATACTCATGGATAGAAATAAATAATATTTTTAAAATGGTCATACTTCCCAAAGCAATTGATAGATTCAGTGCTATTCCTATTAAACTATCAATGACATTCTTCACAAACCCAGAGAAAACTATTTTAAAATTCATATGGAGCCAAAATGAGCCCAAATAGCCAAAGCAATTTTAAGTAAAAGGAACAAAGCTCGGGGGATCATGCTACCTGAGTTTAAACTGTATTACAGGGCTACATTAACCAAAACAGCATGCTAGGCTGGGCACAATGGCTCACACCTGTAATCTCAACACTTTGGGAGGCTGAGGCGGGCAGATCACCTGAGGTCAGGAGTTCGAGACCAGCCCGGCCAACATGGTGAAACCCCATCTCTACTAAAAATACCAAAAATGAGCCGGGCGTAGTGACGGGTGCCTGTAATCCCAGCTACTCAGAAAGCTGAGACAGCAGAATCACTTGAACGCGGGAGGCAGAGGTTGCAGTGAGCTGAGATCACCCCATTGCATTGCAGCCTGGGCAGCAAGAGTGAAACTCCATCTCAAAATAAACAAACTAACAAACAAAACAAAACAAAACCAGCATGCTTCTGGTATAAAAACAGACACATAGACCAATGAAACTGAATAGAGAGCCCAGAAATAAGGCCACACGACTACAACTACCTGATCTTTGACAACACTGACAAAAACAAGCAATGGGGAAAGAACTGCCTATTCAATAAATGATGCTGGGATAACTGGCAAGCTGTATGCAGAAGATTGACACTGTACCCCATTCTTACATCATCCACAAAAATTAACTCAATATGGATTAAAGTTTTAAATGTAACACCCCAAACTATAAAAACCCTAGAATACAACCTACGCAATACCATTCTGGACAAAGGAATGGGCAAAGATTTCATGACAAAGACACCAAAAGCAATTGCAACAAAAACAAAAATTGACAAATGAGATTTAATTAAACTAAGAGCTTCTGTACAGCAAAAGAGAGTATCAACAGAGTAAACACATAACCTACAGAATGGGAGAAAATTTTTTCAAAGTATACCTGTGACAAAGTTCAAATATCCAGCATCTATAATAAACTTAAACAAATTTACAAAAAAAAAAAAAAAACTGAGTAACCCCATTAAAAAGTGGGCAAAGGACATGAACAGACACTTTTCAAAAGAAGACACACATGCAAAAGAAGCATATGAAAAAAAGCTCAACATCACTGATTATTAGAGAAATGCAAATCAAAACCACAATGACATACCACGTAGCATGAGTCAGAATGGCTATTACTGAAAAGCCAAAAAAAAAAAAAAAAAAAAAAAAAAAAAAAAAAAAAAAACAGATGCTGGTTAGTTTTCAGAGAAAAAGGAACACTTATATACTGTTGGTTGGTGTGTAAGATAATTCAACCATCATGGAAAACAGTGTGGCTATTCCTCAAAGACCCAAAAAAAATATACTATTCAACTCAACAATCCCCATTAGAGGATTGCTGTGTTGAATGGTATTATTATGCCCAAAGACATTTGCAGCACTATTCACAATGGTAGAGACACAGAATCAACCTAAATTCCCACCATTGGTAGACTGATTAAAGAAAATGCGGTGTATATACACCATGGAATACTATGCAGCCATAAAAAAGAACAAAATCATGTTCTTTGTATGAACGTGGATGGATTTGCAGACCATTATCCTTAGCAAACTAATGCAGGAGCAGAAAAGCAAATACCACATATCCTCACTTATAAGTGGGAGCTAAATGATGAGAACACCTGGACACATAGAGAGAAACTACACATACTGGGGCCTATTAGAGAGTGGAGCTTGGGAGGAGGAAGCAGATCAGGAAAAGTAACTAATGGGTACTAGGCATAGTACCTGAGTGATGAAATAATCTGTATAACAAACCCTCGTGACACAAATTTACCGACATACTAAACCTGTACATGTACCCCAAAACCTAAAGTACAAGTTAAATTTTAAAAAATACCAATGTCATTTTCCTAAAATTCACGTGGAACCAAAAAGGAGCCTGAATAGCCAAGGCAATCCTAAGCAAAAAGAACAAGGGCAGAGGTATCACAATACTGATCCCAAATTATACATCAGAGGTACACTAACGAAAACAATAAGAAACTGGTGTTAAAACAGACACAGAGATCAGTGGAACAGAATAGAGATCCCAGAAATAAAGCCATGTACATACAGCCAACTGATGTTTAACAAAGTTGACAAAAACATACACTGGGGAACGGACAGCCACCCTCTTCAATGGTGCTGGGAACATTGGATTACCATATGCCGAAGAATGAAACTGGATCCCTGTCTCTCACCATATGAAAAAACTAGCTCCAGATGGATTAACGAGTTAAATGTAACACCTGAAATTATAAAAATATCCGAAGAAAACCCAGGAGAAACTCATCTGGACATTTGTCTAAGCAATTAATTCATGACTAAGTCCTCAAAAGCACAAACAACAAAAACAGAAATAGACAAATGGGAATTAAACTGAAAAATTTGGCACAGAAAAAGAAATAATCTACAGAGTGAACAGACCACTGGCAGAGTGGGAGAAAATATTTGCAAACTCTGCATCCAACAGGGGATTGATAGTCATAATTTATAAGAAACTTAAACAACTCAACAACAAATAAAAAAAAGACCCCATTAACAAGCAGGTAAAGGACATGAATAGACACTTTTGAAAAGAAGACATACAAATGGCAAACAAGCATGTGAAAAAATGCTTAATGTCACTATTCATCAGACAAATTCAAATTAATACCATAATGAGATATTATCTTATACCAGTCAGACTGGCTATTTTTAAAAAGGAAAAAAAGATAACAAATGTTGGTGAGTATATGTAGAAAGGAAATGCTTATACACTGTTAGTGGGTGTGTAAATTAGTACGATCTATATGGAAACAGTATGGAAATTTCTCAATGAACTAAAAATAGAACTACCATTCAATCCAGCAGTCCCACAACTGGGTATCTACCAAAAGGAAAAGGAATTATTATATCAAAAATATACCTACACTTATATGTTTATTGCAGCACTAGTCACGATAGCAAAGATATGGAATCCACCTAAATGTCCATCAATGAATGAGTGGATAAAGAAAATATGGTAGCGATGAGTGGCCAAGATGGCCAACTAGAAGCAGCTAGTGTGTGTGGTTCTCACAGAGAGGAACAGAGAGGAAGAGAAACTGCCAGTAAACACAACATCTTCAACTGTAACATCCAGGTACTCACATTGGAATTGATCCAGGAAACAACTTGACCCACAGAGAATGAAGAAAAGCAAGACCGGAAAACAGCCGACCTGGGAGCAACATGGAGCCTTGCCCAGGGAAGTGGTGAATGAATGAGCGACCCTGGGAAACCACACTTCTCCCATAGATCTTTGCAACACTCAGGTCAGGATATGTCCTTGTGAACCCAGTCCACCAGGACCTTCAGTCTTCAGTCTGACAGACAGAGCTACATGGAGCTCTGAGCAGCTGCTCAGGCATGTGTTGGAGACCCTGGAGCCTTAAATACTTGGGCTTACTGGCAAAGGTAGCTGCAGCTCCTGCAAAGTGGAGGTTAGACTATGGTACATACCCCTAGGAAAGAGGCTGAATCCAGGGGGCTGAGAAGCAACAGCCTGCAGGCCCCACTTCCAAGGCACGTCACAATATAAGACCCACTGGCCCCACTTCCAAGGCACGTCACAATATAAGACACACTGGTTTGGAATTCCAGCCAGCTACCAGGAGTGGCATTGCACCTCCCTAAGAAGGAGCTCCTTGGTGGAGGGGCAGGCCACCATCTTTGCTACTGGGGCACCTTAGTAGTTCCAGCCATCAGGCTTTGAAGATTCTGAGCTGACCCAGGGCAGAAGGGATCCTCAAGCATAGCACAGCTGATCTACCAAAACATGGTCAGACTGCTGCTTTAAGTGGGTGCCTGATCCTATTTATCCTCACTGAGAAGGACCTCCCAACTACGGTCTCCAGCCACTTCCTACAGGTGCTTTTGGAACAGCAACAGGTTTGTACCTCCCTGGGATAAATCTCCCAGAGGGAGGGACAGGCTATCATCTTTGCTGTTTTGCATCCTTCACTGATGACACCTCTGGGTTCTGGAAAATCCCAGGTGACTAGAGACTGGAGCGGGCCCCAAGCATACTGCAGCAGCCCTAAGGAAAAGTGGCCAGATTGTTACATGCGTGCCTGTTCCCATATCTCCTCATCTGGCAGGCCCTCCAGCCTGTGCTTCCAGCCACCCCCCGCCAGAGCTGTTGAGCCAGTACAAACTCAGCAACTCCCTGGACAGAGCCTCCAAAGGCAACTGAAAACCTCTCTGCCACTGCCTCTGCTGTGGAACTGTCCTTGCCACCCCCAGACTAATGAAGAAGCAAAGACCCTAAGTGCTTTATCCACATCTCCAACAAGCTACAGACACAAGGAGAGGCCAGTCAGTCTCCCCCATGCCCCACACAACTCTCACGGTTCATAACCAGACAGTAAACCCCTGGCTTGGGCCCAAAGCACAAACCTTCTCTCTTGGGCTGACTGGATGGAGTGATTGCTTACACCTGCATCTCTCTCTGCGGTAGATCCCCCAAGAGTCAAGCAAAATAACCCTTGGCCACAACCACCAAGATCTCTTCATCTGCTGCCTCTGAGCTGGGGAAGGAACATAAACACTGAGATCGCCTAGGAACTGCAGTGGGCAGCTAAGGAGTGCCAAGTCATGAACTACAGCAAGCACTCAAGGGGGAGAGGAAGCCACCCTTTCAGAGCACGAGAGGGAACACAGCTGCAACTGTGAGGAAACATAGGGGAGCCACACAACCAAGCAAGGGTCTACCAACTGACCAGTAAGGCTAAGTGTCACCTGCTGGATCACATCCCAAAGCTTCAACCCCAACAATACTTTACTAACATTTCCCCATCTGAAACCAGAGACAAAAAGTCAGCTTCAAATAAAGACTCTACACAAAGCCTTGGCCTGGTGAAAACATCCAAAAAAGAAGTCTATTGACTGTATTCAATTTACACTGCAATTAAAGGAACAATCACACACAGAGATGAGAAAGAACCAGCCTAAGAACTCTAATAACTAAAATGGCCAGAGTGTCGTATATTCTCCAAATGATCACACCAGCCCTCCAACAAGAGTTCTTAACAAGGCAAAACTGCCTGGAATAACAGAAATAGAATTCAGAATATGGATAGGAACAAAGATCATTGAGATTTAGGAGGATGGCAAAACCCAATCCCAGGACAATATGAATCACAATAAAGTGATACAGGAGCTGAAGGACAAAACAGTCAGTGTAAAGAAGAACCTAACGTGTCAGGCAGAGCTGAATAACACAATGGAAGAATTTCACAATGCAGTCACAAGTGTCAGCAGCAGAATAAACCAAGTTGATAAAAGAATCCTGGAACTTGAAGACTGGTTCTCTGAAATAAGACAGTCAGACAAAAATAAAGAAAGAAAATAAAAATGAATGACAAGAATCTCCAGGAAATATGGGATTATGTAAAGAGGCAAAATCTACGAATCATTGGCACCCCTGAAAGGGAAGGGGAGAAGCAAACAACTTGGAATATATATTTCAGAAGATTGTTCATGAAAACTTCCCAACCTTGCTAGAGAGGCCAACAGTCAAATTCAGCAAATACAGAGAACTTCTGCAAGATTCTATACAAGAAGATACTCCCCAAGACACATAACCATCTGATTTTCCAAGATTGAAATGAAAGAAAGAATGTTCAACACAACTGAGGAAAAAGGGCGGGTAACCTACAAAGGGATTCCCATCAGGCTAACAGCAGACCTCTCAACTGAAATCCTACAAGTCTTAAGAGATTGGGGGCCTATATTTATTCAACGTTCTTAAAGAAAAAAATCTTCAACCAATAATTTCATATCCAGCCAAATGTAGCTTCCTAAGTGAAGGAGAAATAAGATCCTCTTCAGATAAGCAAATTTTGAGGGACTTTATTACCACTAGAAGTGTCTTACAAGGGATCTTGAAAGGACCACTAAATATAGAAAGGAAAGATCACTACCAGCTAAGACAAAAACACACTTAAACACACAGACCAGTGTTACTGTAAAGCAATCACACAAACAAGCCAACATAGTTACCAGCTAACAGCATAATGACAATATCAAATCCACACATATCAATACTAACCTTGAATGTAAATGGGCTAAATGCCCCACTTAAAAGGTACATAGTGGTAAGCTGGATAAAAAAGCAAGACCCCATAGTATTCTGTCTTTGAGAGATCCACCTCACGTCATGACACTCATAGGCTCAAAATAAAGGGATGTAGAAAAATCTATCAAGCAAATGGAAAACAGAAAAAAACAGGAGTTGCAACTCTAATTTCAGAAATACAGATTTCCAACCAATAAAGATAAAAAAAAGACAAGGAAGAGCATTACATAATGGTAAAGTGTTCAATTCAACAAGAAGAGCTAACTATCCTAAATATATATGCACCCAACACAGGAACATCCAGATTCAGAAAGCAAGCTCTTAGAGACATACAAAGAAACATAGACTCCCACAGAATAAGAGTGGGAGACTTCAACACTCCACTGACAGCATTAGATAGATCATTGAGGAAGAAAATGAACAAACATACTGAGGACATAAACTCAGCATTGGACCAAATGGATCTGATAGACCTTCACAGAATTCTTCACCCTAAAACAACAGAATATTCATTCTTCTCATTGCCACATGGCACATACTCTAAAATCAATTAAGTAATTGAACATAAAACAATCCCCAACAAATGGAAAAGAACCAAAATCATTCCAAACACCTTTTCAGACCACAGCTCAATAAAAATAGAAATCAACACAATGAAAATCTCTAAAAAACATACAATTATATGAAAATTAAACAACATGCTCCTGAAAGATTTGTGGTAAATAATGAAATTAAGACAGAAATCAATAAGTTCTTTAAAAATAATGAGAACAAAGATGCAACATACCAGAATCTCTGGGACACATAGAAGGCAGTGTTAAGAGGGAAATTCATAGCACTAAATGCCCACATAAAAAAGTTAGGAAGATTTCAAATTAACAATCTAATTTCACAACAGAATGAATTAGAGAAGCAAGAACTGATCAACCCCAAAACTAGCAAAAGATGAGAAATAACAAAAATCAGAGCTGAACTGAAGGGAACTGAGGCCCATAAAAGCCATTCAAAAGATCAGTGAATCCAGGAATTGTTTTTTTTTTTTTTTGAAAAAAATAAAATAAAATAGGCCACTAGCTAGACTAATTAAGAAAGAAAGAGAGAAGATCCAAATAAACACAATTAGAAATGAGGAAGGGAATGATACTACTGACCCCACAGAAATCAAAACAACAATCAGAAGCTACTACAAACATTTCTACACACACAAACTAGAAAACCTAGAAGATATGGATAAGTTCCTGGACACATACAACCTCCCAAGGCTGAGCCTGGAAGAAATTGATTCCCAGAACAGACCAATAACGAGCTCTGAAATTGAATCAGTAATAAGCCTACCAACCAAAAAAAGCCCAGGACCTGATGGAATCACAGCCACATTCTACCAGATGTACAAAGAAGAGCTCACACAATTTCTGCTGAAATTATTTCAAACAACTGAAGAGGAGGGACTCCTCCCCAACTTATTCTAAGAGACCGTCATCATCCTGAAACCAAAACCTGGCAGACACACAACAAAAAAGAAAACTTCAGGTGAATATCCTTGATGAATATTGATGCAAAAAAAAACCTCCACAAAAATATTTGCAAACCAAATCTTGCAACACATCAAAAAGCTAATCCACCATAATCAAGTAGGCTTCATCCCCAGGATGCAAGGTTGGTTCAACATACAAAAATCAATAAATGTGATTCATCACATAAACGGAACTAAAGACAAAAACCAAATGATTATCTCTATAGACGTAGAAAAGGTTTTTGATAAAATTCAACACCTCTGCATGTTAAGAACTCTCAATGAAGTAGGTTTTGAAGGAACATACTTCAAAATAATAAGAACCTTCTATGACAAACCCACAGTAAACATTATACTGAACGTGCAAAAGCTGGAAGTATTCTCCTTGAAAACTGGAACAAGACAAGGATGCCCTCTTTCATCACATCTATTCAACATAGTATTGGAAGTCCTAGCCAGAGCAATCAGGCAAAGGAAAGAAAAAAGGGCATCTGAATAGGAAGAGAGGAAGTCAAACGATCTCTGTTTGTGGACGATATGATTCAGCTGACACATAACTTCAGCAAAGTTGCAGGATACAAAATCAATGTACAAAAATTACTAGAGTTCCTATACACCAACAACAGCCAAACTGAGAGCCAAGTCAGAAAGACAATCCCACTTATAATTGTCACAAGAAATTAAAATACCTAGGAATACAGCTAACTAGGGAGGTGGAAGATCTCTGCAATGAGGACTACAAAACACTGTTCAAATAAATCAGAGAAGACACAAATGGATGGAAAAACATTCCTTGCCCATGGATAGGAAGAATCAACTAATTAAAATGGCTAGACTGCCCAAAGCAATGTACAAATTTAACACTATTCCTATCAAACTACCAACAACATTCTTCACAGAACTAGAAAAAAATAAATTTATATGGAACCAAAAAAGAGCTGGAATAGCCAAGGAAATTCTAAGCAAAAAGAACAAAGCTGGAGAAATCACATTACCTGACTTCAAACTATACTACAAGGCTACAATGACCAAAACAGTGTGGCACTGGTACAAAAACAGGTGCATAGACCAATGGAACAAAATAGAGAGTGCAGAAATAACAGTGAATATCTATGACCATCTGATCTTTGACATAGCTGACAAAAACAAGCAATGGGGAAAAGACTCCCTATTTCATAAATGGTGCTGGGATAACTGGGCTAGTCATATGGAGCAGATTGAAGCTGGACCCCTTCCTTAAAGCATATACAAAAATTAACTCAATATGGATTAATGACTTAAATGTATAACCAAAAACTATAAAAACCCTGGAAGACAACCTAGGCAATACCATCCTGGACCTAGGAATGGGCAAAGATTTCATGAGAAGGACACCAAAAGCAAGCAGAACAAAAGCAAACATTAACAAATGAGATCTAATTAAACTTCAAAGCTTCTGCACAGCAAAAGAACCTATCAACAGAGTAAACAGACAACTTACAGAATAGGAGAAAATATTTGCAAACTATGCATCTGACAAAATTCTAATATCCAGCATCTATAAGGGACTTAAACAAATTTACAAGATAAAAACAACCCCTCTAAAAAGTGGGCAAAGGACATGAACAGACACTTTTCAAAAGAAGACCTACATGCAGCGAACAAGCATATGAAAAAACAACTCTATATCACTGATCATTATAAAAATGCAAATCAAAATTAAAATGCAAATCAAAATGGGTATCATGAAAAAGAAAAAAAATTAACATATGCTGGCAAGGTTACAAAGAAGAGGGAACACTTATACACTGTTGATGGGAGTGTGAATTAGTTCAATCTTTGTAGAAAGCAGTATGGGGATTCCTCAAAGAGCTAAAAGCAAAACTACCATTTGACCCAGCAATGCTATTACTGGGTATATACCCAGAAGAATATAAAGCATTCTACCAGAAAGGCACATGCATGCAAATGTTCACTGCAGCACTGTTCACAATGCTAGGGACATGGAATCAACTTAAATGTCCATCAATGATGGACTGGATAAAGAAAATGTGGTATATATACCCTACGGAATATTATGCAGCCATAAAAAGGAACAAGATCATGCCTTTTTGGGGAAAATGGATGAAACTGGAGGCTATCATCCTTAACAAACTAAGGCAGGAACAGAAAACCAAATACTGCATGTTTTCACTTCTGAGTGAGAGCTAAATGATAGGAACTTATGAACACAAAGAAGGGAACAGCAGACACTGAGGTCTACTTTAGGGGAGAGGGTGGTGGAGGATATGAGCAAAAAAGATAACTATTGAGTACTGTGATTGATACCTGGGTGATGTAATAATATGTACAACAAACCCCCATGACATATGTTTATCTGTGTAACAGACTTTCTCATGTACCCCCAAGCCTGAAATAAAAAGTTTAAAAAAGAAATAAAATATGATTTACACATACAACATGGGATACTATTTAGCTGTAAGAAAGAATGACATGTCTTTTGCAGCAACATGCGTAGAACTGGAGGCCATTACTTTAAGTGCAACAAGTCAGAAATGAAAATTCAAACACTGCATGTTCTCACTTATAAGTGGGAGCTAAATGACATGTATACATGCGCATAGAGTGTAAAGTAATAGTCATTGGAGATTCAGAAGGGTGGGAGGGCAGGTAGGGGGTGAGGGTTGAGAAATTACTTAATGGGTACAATACAAACTGTTCGGATGATTGTTACACTAAAAATCCAGAGTTCACCAATACACAATATATCCATAAAACTGCACTGGTAACCCTTAAATATATACTTTTATTTAAAAAAAATGGAGTTAAATATAAGACCTGACATGACAAAACTGATAGAAGAAAACATAGGGAAAAAATTTCTTGATATTGGTCTTGGCAATGATTTCTTGGATATGACACCAAAAGCATGGGTAACACAAGCAAACATGAAGTGGTACTATATCAAACTAAAAAGCTTCTACACAGCAAAGAAAGCAATCAACAGAGTGAAAGGGCAACCTACGGAATGGAGGAATATGTTTTCAAATCATATATATAACAAAGGGTTAGTATACAAAATATATAAGGATATCCTGCAACTCAATAACAAAAAATAAACGCTAAAAGCCAAGACCTTATCTCTATGCAATATATGGATGTATGAAACTGACACTTATACATCCTAAATATATTTAAATAAATAAATATATATATAGGCAACAGAGCTGAAAATATTTTTTTTCTTGAAATAAGACATACAAATGACCAACAGGTATATGAAAAAACATGTTCAACATCACTAATCATCAGGGAAATGCAAATCAAAACCGTAATGAGATATCACCTCACACTTGTTAATAGGACTATTATTTTTAAAAATATATATAAGAAATATTGGTGAAAATGTGGATTAAGAGAACGTTTGCACAATTATATTGGTGAGAATGTAAACTGGTTTAGCCAGTATGGAAAACAGTATGTTGGTTTCTCAAAAAATTAAAAATAGAACTATCATACCATCCAACGATCCCACTTCTGAATATATATGAGGTAAAATCATAATCTTAAAGAAATATCTGCACTCCCGTGTTCATTGCTGCTTTATTAACAATAGCCAATATATTAAAAACCCTAAATGACCAACAATGGATGAATGGATTTAAAAAACCTGGTATTTATATATTATATACAATGGAATTTTATTCAGCTTTTACAAAGAATGAAATCTTCCCATTTGTGACAACATGAATAAACCTGAAGCATGATATGCTAAATGAAATAAGTCATACAGAGGGACAAACACCATGACACCACTTATATGATGAATCTAAAATAGTCAAACTCATGGAAGCAGATATTAGAATGGTGGTTGTCGTGCACTGAGGAGAAGAGGAAACAGGGTGCTATTAGTTGAGATGAGCAAAGTTTCAGATGTACAAGATGAATAAGTCCTAGAGATCTACTGTACAGCATAGTGTCTATAGTTAACAATACTGTATTGTATACTTAAAACTTTGCTAAGAGGGTAGGTCTTATGTTACATGTTTTTATCACACAAACAACAACAATAATATATAAAGTGGACAGGCAGAAACTTATGGAGGTTTATGGTATAGACTATGGTAATGGTCTCATGGATATATACATATGTCCAAACTCATCAAGTTCATGCAGTATATATTTACAGCTTTTTGTATCTGAATCATACCTCAGTAAAGTAGTTTTTAAAAAAGAAAATAACAAATCAAATAACTTAATAAATATGTTTAAATTATAAAAAGAAGAGTGTAGAGTACCATAAGGGCTATACATTATGACTTGGTCAATAATTACAGTGACTAGACATTGAGGCAATAATGAAATTAAGTGAACAAGAATAGAAGGCATTGAGGATACAGAAGTAAATGCTCAGTTATCGGTAAGTGCAAAATGTGAATGTTTTCCCAGTAACATTGAATCTCTGCCTTTCCAAACCAATTTCAATGATTTAAATATATGTAATTTGAACATAATGTAAATGTGTTATTTTCAGATTCAGTGACTGAAAAGGACAACTTTTATACTTTTAGGTGTATGTGTGACTTTTTACCTATATTGTAGCACTTTCACTTTTAAATGCATCTTTTCATTTTCATCTAACTTACTATTTTCTAGTTGTCCGGTGCAAGTTGAAATTTTGGTTCCCAAGTAAAATTTAACTAAGTAACTCCTGAATCAGCTTTATGTATTGCCCTTTTTATGTATCATTCCAGACCTGCGTTTTGAGAACTTGTGGCCAGGTGCTAAACTGCTATTCTAAATCTATCAGTGTTACACTGAGAAGCTTCCTGAGGATAAGAATTTAATTGAACAGTTGAATAAAAGGCCAAATTGCTATGAAAAATTCATATGAACCAAAACATCTTTTCCACTGCTTTCCTATCCTTGAGTATAGTTTTATCTGAAGACACAGATATTCAGGTGCTGTACTGAAGACTAAACAAATAGGATTTAAGAGTTTCATAAGCTTAAAGTCACTGCAATTATGGTATAAATTATGGTGATGGTTTCATGGGTATAAACTTAGCTCCAAGCTCATCAAGTTGTACACATTATATATGTACAGATTTTTGTATCTCAATTGTACCTCTGTAAAGTAGTTTTTTAAAAATAAAATAAAAAATCAAATAAATTTTTTCTGCACCATGAGGCAATACAAAATATATGTTATATAGGCTATACCTCTAAACTTTGAATAAAGTGTAAGGAGCTATATAAAAGACAACAAAAAATGCATGACCATATGTGGTAAGGAGATCGTATCCTTTAGAGATTTTTTTTTTAACTCATGTGTGAGCTACTTTAGGACTTTAACAAATACATCTAGGTTCCATCAGGAAACTTGGTCTTCTGCTCCATATCTTCACCTAAATAACTGACCTATAATGGTTCAATCTGAGACTCAGTTTCCTCATCTGCAAACTGAAGAATTAAACTAGCTTCTAAATCTTTTGTACGAATTAAAAATATGTGGGGAGTCTGGCTCATTAATTCTCTTAATATCATCATAGGAGACAAACATTTTACAACGAATTTTCTTTATCTGTGAGAGGGTTTAGATATTTGTATACCTTTAGTTTTCAGAGTTAGGAAGCATATATTGTTCACTGAAATCCATTATTTACCCTACAAATAATAAAATACCTATTAATTCAGTAATTATCATAGCCAGGATTCAGTTCTGAGGAGCCAATGTAAATTCTGGAAACTTATTGATACAGTTTTGATTATGAGGCACCCAGTCATGGTGATCCTAAGCAATGTCCATTTGTTTAAATCATTGCCATCATATTTTCTGTCTAGACATACCCTTTGGGAGCTGAATGGGTTATCTGGGGGACTGGAATTTTATAAAGCTAAACTAGATGTGGCAAGAAAATCTCTTTGGCCATCAAGATAATGTACAAATGTATATCATCAGTTTAGATACTAAGGAAATTTCCCTTCAGATTTTTTCTTTGCGATGATTTAGAGACAATCTAATGTGATGAAAAGTTTGCTTCATTACGAGTTTTCTATGCATCATAAGGAGTACAGAATGGCAAAATAGAACCTTAGTTATTCTACCAAACACACAGTTAGACGGTTTAGGCTGTATTTACCTCAGCTTACATATTTGATAAGGATTCACCTTACCTCTTAGAATCAGGATCTTCTAATGACAGTTATGTTTCTTTTTTGAAAAACCAATATTTGCCTTCTTTTCCTTGAATCACGTTTTTATGGTAGGATGAATTTTACTGAATTCTGAAATAATCCTTCAAAATCTACCAGATTTTTCTTTTTGGCCCATGGTAGCAGTGTACCAGTAGATGATTAGGGACATTATCTAAAAATAATTAAGTTGAATTCACTAGACTTTTTGGAGGACATCGTTGGAGTATGGATTGTTCTGGTACTTTTAGTACTTGTTTCCTTATATATGGTTGTGTTGCTGTCTGATATAGACTTCCTAGGAGAAATAATTTCAAACTTGCATATTCACTTTTTAATCTATGGCCATTACCCCACACCCCACCTTTTTATACCATTATGCTGAGAGCTTTATTTTAATATCTGACTTTTATTAATACAAAAGATTATAACTATACTACAGACGCTGGCTATATAGGTACATGCCATATTTTCATTCATTTGGTCCCTCAGTGTATAAGTATTAGGCAGATAAAAAGGTAGAAAGAATACCTGAAGTCTTTTCCTTCTTCTCCCCCTCCCTGCTAAGCTGATCCTCATAGGCTAGGCAGCCTATCCTTTATAAAAGTGCCAGCAAGGATATGCACTAGAAAAGGGTTCCTTTAGATATGCACTAATGAGGATACACACTCAAAGGGGTTTCATTTAGAATTTCAGAGTGCTCCCACTGACAATGTTGTTTTAGATGGAATTTACTACATAGTGAATTCTGTCCAAAATAACTGTCCAAAACTCTTAGCAGACAAAAGAATACATTAGCAAGAGTCTTGGAATTTTTTAAACTATTTGCATTTTACTATCTTTGTTTTATTTGTGTTTCAAATTGGGGATCAGATATATATTTAATATATATTTTTCTAAATTTATAAACTATTCATTGTAGCATGAAGGAATTATAAGAATTGAAAGTTACATTGTTAAAAATATTAACAAATTCAAGTTAATTTTGGTTTGTGCTATGTAGCATAGCTCTGTTAAATAAATTTATCCAGCTTTCAATTACATTAAGAAATGATCCCCATTTTACAAAGGATCATCCATAGCTCAAGCCTCAGTATCATGCAATATTTTCATGTGAAAAGCCTGCACTTGTACCCCCAAATCTAAAATAAAAGTTGAAATTATTAATATAAATAAATAAATGGAATGGAATAATTCTGCTTTTAGGTATAACAGCTGCAGCGATGGCTGAGGCGATGAAACTTCAGAAGATGAAGCTTATGGCTATGAACACTCTTCAGGGAAATGGAAGCCAAAATGGGACCGAATCAGAGCCTGATGATCTTAATTCTAACACAGGTGAGTGTCTTCCAGAATCCCAGACCAATGACTCTTACTGTTCTATTGTGGGGCAGGAGAGAGGTGGGATGAGGATGGAGGAGAGAATAATAAGTCTACTTTGGTTATAAAGATACTCAAGAGGGATGATTAGCTCTATTGCTAACATTTGTACACTGAAATTAGAAAACAGTTACAAGTCATAATCTCATTTTGGAAACATTTAGTTATCTTCACTGTTTTGCTGTGGTAGAATTGTATTATAATTCCTATAATGTTAGCCATTGTGCTCTCTGCCTGACAAAGACTGGTCCACTCAGCATCACCTCAGGTTTCTTATTCCATCCTATTCTAAATAATTTACCACTGAAAGGCAATGCTGACAGTCCAGGTTGGCTGGGCTGAAGTCTTTTCAGCTGGAGTACCACTTCCTTAGCTAAAGGAAAGTGCTGGCTGACTCCAGGCATTATCAACAGGGACTAATGAAAAGAGGTAGAACAGGGAGCAGCCAAAGAAGAAAAGATGGATGAAAGGAAAAGAAAACAGAGGTGACTTGTAGAGTGGAAAGTCCTCTCCTCTCATGTTACTTGTTTCTTTCTTTTACCCCGTGATCATTGTACCTTGGCCTTGATCATAAGACCCTTCAGATCCCTTTGGAAAGTAGGTGGGATTATAACTATCAACATACATGAATGGATGGATGGACGGATGGAAAGATGGATGGATAGATAAATGGATGGATCAATGGATGATGGAAGGATGGACACATAAATAAAGGAAAGATTGAAGAAATATTTAATTTTATTTTAGGTTTAGGAGTACATGTTCAGGTTTGTTAAATGGGTAAAAACATGATTTGGGGGTTTGGTGTACATACTGATTATTTTGCCACTTGGATACTAAAGATAGTACCTGACAGTTTTATTTCTTTTCTGAACTTCTCCCTCCTCCCACCCTTCTCCCTCAAGTAGGCCCCAGTGCCTGTTGTTCCCTTTTTTTCTGTTCATATGTTCTCATCATTTAGCTCCCACTTATAAGTGAGAACAAGCAGTATTTGATTTTATGTTCCTGCATTAGTTTGCCATGGATAATGGCCTCACTCCATCCATGTTCCTGCAAAGGAAATGATCTCATTGCTTTTTATTGCTGCATAGTATTCCATGGTGCACATTTCCCACATTTTCTTTATCCACTTTCTCATTGATGGACATTCAGGTTGATTCCATGTCTTTGCTATTGTGAATAGTGCTGCAACGAACATATGTGCGTGTGTGTCTTCATGGTAGAACAATTTATATTCCTTTGGGTGTATACCCAGTAGTGGGATGGTTGGGTCAAAGAGTACTTCTGTTTTTAGTTCTTTGAGGAATCACCATACTGCTTTCCCTAATAGTTGAACTAATTTACACTTCCATCAGCAATGTATAAACTTTCCCCTTTCTCTACAACCTTGCCAGAATCTCTATTTTTTGACTTCATAGTAATAGCCGTTCTGACTGGTGTGAGATGGTATCTTATTGTGGTTTTGATTTGCATTTCTCTAATAATCAATGGTGTTGAGCTTTTTTCATATGCTTCTTGGTCACATGTATGTCTTCTTTAGAAAAGTGTCTGTTCATGTACTTTGCCCACATTTGAACAGGGTTGTTTTTTGCTTGCACATTTGTTTCAGTTCCTTGAAGATTCTTGATATTAGACCTTTGTCAGATGTATATTTTCTCCCATTCTCTAGGTTGCCTTCTTACTCTGTTGATAGTTTCTTTTGCTGTGCAGAAGCTCTTTACTTTAATAAGGTCCTATTTCTCACGTTTTACTTTTGCTGCAATTGCTTTTGGCATCTTCTTCATGAAATCTTTGCCAATTCCTGTGTCCAAAATGGTATTTCCTAGGTTATCTCCAAAGGTTTTTACAATTCGAGGTTTTATATTTAGGAATTTAATCCACTTTGAGTTGATTTTTGTATATGCTGTAAAGAACGGGTCCAGTTTCAGTCTTCGGCATACAGCTAGCCAGTTATCCCAGCACCATTTATTGAATAGGGTGTCCTTTTCCATTGCTTGTTTTTGTCAGCTTTATTAAAGATCAGATGGTTGCAGGTCTGTGACTTTATTTCTGGGTTAGCTATTCTGTAACATTGGTCTAGTGTTTGTTTTGTACCTGTAGTATGCGGTTTTGTTTACTGTATCCGTGTAATATAATTCGAAGGCAGGTAATGTGATGCCTTCAGCTTTGATGTCTAAAAGCGTGGTGGAAGGGTGCGGGGGAGCAGGGTGACTCCCCATTCCCAGTCTTGCACAGGTCCCTGTGGGGAGCATGAACCTCCCTGGGGGCTCTCATTCACTCACCCTTTCCATGTTTGGGAGTTTCTCCTGGCTATTTTAACAATATTGATTCTTCCTATTCAAGAACATGAAATGTTTTTCCATTCAGTAATGAATTCCCTCAGCATTTGCTTGTCTGAAAAGGATCTTATTTCTCCTTCGCTTATGAAGCTTAGTTTGGCCGGATATAAAATCCTTTTTTTTTTTTTTTTTTTTGAGACGGAGTCTCACTCTATCACCCAGGCTGGAGTGCAGTGGCACGATCTTGGCTCACTACAACCTCTGCCTCCTGGGTTCAAGCAATTCTCCCTGCCGCAGCCTCCCAAGTAGCTGAGATTACAGGTACCCATCACCACACCTGGCTAATTTGTGTACTTTTAGTAGAGAAGGGGTTTCACCATGTTGGCCAGCCTAGTCTCGAACTCCTTACCTCAGGTGATCCACCTGCCTTGGCCTCCCAAAGTGCTGGGATTACAGGTGTGAGCCACTGCGCCCAGCCAATATTTTTTAAGATGCTGATACCTAACAGGTTGGTGGCCAGCTTTGTTCCTCTCTGTCCTCTGTTTCTGACTGCTGCCTTGATGGATCCCGACATGATTTCTCTGTTGATTGGCCTGCACGGCAGTGGTCTCTAGCCCTTTGCTTTCTTCTCCATGAGAGCCGTGCACATGAACTGCTTCTAGTTCATCATCTCGGCCCTGTCTCCCAAACATTTTTAGTAAAAAAAAAAAAAAAAAAAAAAAAAAACGCAATTAAAGATGGTTTTAGGATCCAGAGATTTCCAAGCTAACTCTGCAGTTAAATTCAATATAATGTGATAGGTAAATTGGCAGCAGCTTTACATCTCTTTTTCTAGGCTCCTGGAAATTCAAGCATGGTGGGGCTTTATTTTGCAGGGAAATGGGAAGAGCAATTAAAGAGGAAAATTATTGAATGAAATCAGTATGAGAAACTACTCTGACTTCAGGACAGTGTAGATCACCTCATGTAAAATTACAATTTTCATGGTGAAATATAAGATGAGAATTGCTCTTCAACCAGTGCTGACAGTGACTTTTTTCTACATAGCCTGGATGCAATTTTCTGGGGAATCAATGGAAAATTCATATTTTACTGGGTTCTTGGAAACTGAAAACAATCCATAGATAAGAATAAAATTAACACTAAACAATAATAATAGCAACAGCAAGAATAGTTACTAGTTACTATGTGCTAAGTATCTCACATAATAACTCATTTAATTTTTACCTAAATCTTGAGAACAAGGTACTTTCAATACTCCCATTTTATAGATCTAATTATCCTTATCTTGATGTAATGAAGTGAAGCTGACTTGTAGTATTATAATCATAATTATTATATAGATTTAAATGAAGTTTCTGAAGCATTTCAAAGTCTGAATAAATGAAAACCCTGCTCTACTGGAAAGTGAAACTACTACAATTTCATAAATGATCATTTGTAAATGAAAATGTATTTCAAGCATTTTAGATCTGAAAATTTTTGGTAATCTGGGGGCTAGTGTGTCTTTGTTGCCCTTTGGGTCACCTATCTCACCATATAAACTGAGACCAAAGACTGGGCTTGATTTCTCTGTTTCCAACTTTTATCTGCTTTAGTTCCTTCCAAGAAGCGACAGAAGTAGATCATTTCAACAAGGGAGATCAGGGTTCATAGCATTTATGGTCTGATTATTAGTTATGGGAATGTTCTTTCTGAATGCTCATGGTTCAAGTAGGACTGGGAAATTTAATCCAAAGGACAGCTAGATCTTGGAGAAACATTAAAACTTTGTTCACAAAATAAGTACTAGATCTAATCAGGCAAAAGAAAAGCAGTCAATTTGGTAAATATTCAGTTGAGTGGGCTGTGAGGTATCCTGAGGGATACACATTGAATGTTTCCATCATTTATGTGGTGACATAGAAGTGAGATTTACATTATGATAAAATGCAGTTATTTTCAATTTTGTTGTAAAGAATTCCAGTTGTATATTTGAAGTGACTAGCAAATAATAGACATTCCATGAAGGTCAAGTACGTAAATGAAATAAGCAGTGTGGCTAGTGACTATTTCTAAACCACTCCATGAGGGATTAGAGTAATTCTTGAATATGATTCTCAACAAAATTCAATTTCATATATATTAGGCTCCACAATGTACAATATTCCAACAGTTATAAAGGCAATATGTTGGTAGTCTGAGGAGAGAAGACAAAAAAAATCACTGTATTTCAAATGCTTATGATTTAGGTAGGAGAGGAGATAAAAATGAATCAATATATAAATGACTATACTCTGACATGGAATGTAATAAAAGCAACAAGAAGAACTGTGACAATATAGAGAAAGAAAAAATTACTTCTAAGATAATCAAAAAGATTCAATTGTAGGATGTAGCATTTGAACTGTTCTTTGAAGGAGAGAAATTGGACATCAGAAAAAAAGTGCATAGCTTTGAATGAAGTATTAAACAGATTGTCTCAATTGTGTTGAGTGCCTCCAGACCAAGGAGTATATCATCAAGACTTTGTCCAGTGCGAAGAGACCAAGAAATAAAGCTCCCCCCCCCCACTAATCTGTACATAATGGCCTCGGTGATTACATAGATCAATGACTAAAATAAAACAAGCCTTCAAAAAATAAACACACTGTACTATTCCCCTGGACAGTCATTTTCAAATAGTGATTCTCAGAGACCTCAGGACATTTCTAGGAGTTGGGTAAGAATTGAGGACATGGCTTGAGGAAATTTTATGTTTGATTACTAGAAAGTTTTGATCAATTACATTTTTAGGTTAACTATAAAGCACCTGTTGATTACAATCTTATTGACAAAGATTTCTAAAATTAAAATTTAGAGTCCTAAGTAACTTCAGATAATTAGATCCCAACCTCTCATACTACAGATGATGTTTGAAGCATGAGAAATTGGCCAGTAATCACACAGCTAGGTAGTGAGAGATCTGGCACTGATTCATAGTTCCTTGATCTTTCCACCATAACATTATGCTTCTAATGTTTGAATCAATTTTCTAGTATAGTTTAAGCTACATAATCTAATTTCTTTACTTTATATTGAATCTCAATCAGTAAACCTAGAGATAGAGATGCAGCTGATAAAGGAGATTGTCCTTAATTTGGCTTGACTAATATTTTGTTGACAAAATAGTTACCAGACTTCAGATTAGACCTGATCTGACCTCAAGATCTACTCTGGGAATTACTGTTTTCACTACATCTCTGATAGATTTTCTTTCTTGGTATCATCTTTTTTCTCTTCAATTAAGTAAGATATAGATAACAAATATTTCACTTGAAGTTCTGAAACTGTCCAATTAATCAAGCCATAAAATACATACATATGTATTAAAATACATGTGTGTGTGTGTATATATATATATATATATATATATATATATATAGTGAAGTAGTGTTCAGCCATAAAAATATAACAAGATCCTGTCATTTGCAACAACATTGATGGAACTGGAGGTTAATACGTTAAGTGAAGTAAGCCAGGCACGGAAAGACAAACTTTGCATATTCTCACTTATTTGTGGGAGTTAAAATTAAAATGAGTGAATACATGGAGATAGAGAGTAGAAGGTGGCTCAGAAGGGTAGTGGGGGGTGAGGTGAGGAGGTGATGTGGGGAGGGTTAACAGGTACAAAAATAGAAAGAATGAATAAAACCTAGTATGTGCTAGCACAACAGGGATACTATAGTCAAAAATAATTTAGTTGTACATTTAAATATAGCTAAAAGAATGTAATTGGATTGTATTCTTTGTGGATAACACAAAGCGTGAATGCTTGAGGTGATAGATACCCCATTTACCCTGATGTGATTATTGTTTTGTATATCTGTATCAAAATATCTCATGTAATACATAAATATACTTACCATGTACCCACAAAAATTAAAAACCTAGTTAGATCCACAAATATTATAAATTATTAAATATGATTTAGAATTTTATATTGTTTTAAGTGTAAACTCAATGATTTAGAGCCCTGCTCTGAAATCAAGCTGAGTGCATGTTACCTTTCCTGTTTTCTCCCTTATGAGTGGCATTTGTTTTAATAGGACACTATTAAAAATATAAATGAATGGTCTCTCTTTGTTGAATGTATTTTTGGTCATATGAACATTTTACTTGAGAAAGGACAATTTTTGGTTCTTATAAGCCGTTTTCACAAGGTTTGTGTAGCCAGAAAATTTTAAAAATGAGTTTGTTTTTCAATTTAAGAGGGAGCACACTCTGTTTTAAATGCCTTATTGTGGTAGGATTGCTATTTAATTTCATCATTGTTATTAGTGGCTAAATCCCCTGAAGGCAAAATATGACAGATATAAAAACATGCCAAGTATTCAATTAAAATTTTTCTGCTGGTGTTAATATGTTTATCTATCTTGTCATTTTAAAAAGGATCATATTTTATTTTCTCAGCATATTCCTTGTAACTTTTTATTCTAGCCCCCCATTACCCATTGATTCTTGCCATTTAATTGTGGAGGTACTGGCTTTTATTTGTGAAAGGCTTTATCAAAATACAGATTAAAATATCATGTTTTCACAATTGAACTAAACAGAGAAATGTACAGCAAAGTACTATCTTCCTAGAGGGTATGAGACCAACCATTGTGCATTTTGCTCTTCACAAAAAAACCAACCAGCATTGTCAGAGAGCACATACTTCATGACCTAAGGAAATTTCCAAATTTATTGACACATCCTGAAATAAGCGGGACACTGACCTAAAAATACTGGAAGGCTGTATTTAGTTGAGATGTTTGAATGTGTGTGAAAAAGAGTTTTCCTGCTGGGAGTTCTTACATCTTCTATTTTGCTTAAGTTGATATTTTTGGGTGATTCGACAAGAGCAGAGACAGGAGAGTATGAAAATAGAGTCAGTATCATTAAGCTTTAAAGGAAAAAAGCAAATATAGGAGTTAGAATATTCTTATGCAAGAACCGAATTTTCTCTTTGAAGGCAGACCTATAGTTTCTTTGATTTGAGGTTTGTTTAATAGTTTCCATAATGGCTGCACCATGACTCTGCATCAAGATTTCAGCATGAATAACAACGTGTTCATGTTTCATTTAGCTCCAAATGAGAAATTCTGTTTTTTATTGTTTTAGGAAATTAGTCTGTGTACTATTTCTCATGGAGCTTTATAATCAATCACTAAAGGTTATGGCTGTAGAGAGTTTGTGGGAAATAGATGCTTGAATGATTATAATTGTAGCTGTCAAATTAGAAATATAGTTATACAGTAGCAGAATCTATTTTTAAACTATAACAAAGACTTCCAGGGTTGCCCATTTACTTGTAGAAATAAATGGAGTATTTTTAACTGCATTGCTTATTTCAGGAAGAACTATGCTCAGTGATGTTCTCTGGAAAACCCACGATTATAACCACGTAAATCTTTATCCTCCGAGTCCCTGCTTTTTCTGACTTTTGTGTCAGTTTTGCTTCCATGGAGCAGATGTTGAGTACTTTACCTTTTGGAAAATATAGCTTATAGTGGAGAGAATCAAAGTGTATATGGTTGATTAACTGGCAAAGTTGAATTAGAAAATCCCAAGATTGCCTTCTTTCTTTATGTTATCCAAACATCTCATTAGATGTGGAGAAAGATGTTTCTAGGGAATCAAGCGAGGCATGCTGTTTTTATTAGCTCCTGGTACCAAGAACTGTTTTGAGAGGGTTTTTTTTTCTGATAGAATTTTCAACTTTCACTACTCTACCCATCTTTCTTCTGTGCTTATGACTGCTTAAAAAGTAAGCCAGAAGGAACTATTGTTTTTTCAGTACCCTTCTATAACTCATTCCAGGAGTAAGCAACTCTCACTACTGGGGAATTGTTTATTATGTCTATTCCTAATACCTCATCTAGTGAATTACATTTCTTGTTTTGTCAGTAATATTAAGGTCAGTTTGTATGAAGCCACCTCAGAGTTTGGTCTAATGTTATCTCTTCCTCACAATTAATAATTTGAAATGATGTGATCTATCCTTATAGATCTTATTAGCCAACACGTAATCATTCTGATCTTCCTAGTCCTCCACCTTCCTCCTGTCCCCAACTATGCTATTATCAAATCATAGGGCAGAACTTCACTTTTGAGAAGATCTAATCAGTGTTGAATATGTTGTCTTGGTTCCTACATGTTATTCTCATTTAATGTTTCTGGTTTTTTGTACATTAATGCTAAATATCTAGCTCTGCTACAGTTTTGTGTGGTTCAAAACAAGTGATTTCAAACAAGCATCCTCTCTTTGTGCCTTGGTTACAATGAACGAATCTGAGATAATCACATTGCCTTTGAATTCTAATCTTCATTATTATAATTCTTGAGCATCATTAGTCTAGTCCCATCTTCTGTTTGTATTGTTTTTACTTAATGGGTACTCTCCTGAATCTGTTGCTCTCATAGTCCATACTATTTATTCCTTACAGAATCTTTCACTTAGTGATGTCACTTCAGGTTCTGAACCCTTCCTTAGAAATTTGAGGTTAGTGTCATGGGATCAAAATGTGCCTCTGTCCATGTTCAGTACACTGACAGAAATGTTTTTCCTGCTTTTGGGATTTGGAAAATACTTTTTTTGTATTATTGCCTCAACTTAACATTTATTCATGGGTGATCACTCTTCGTGCCCCTGCTGGGAACTCTCTTCAGGTGTGTGATCTGACTGGATTTTCACAATATATTGATGAGCCAATTGTTTAGAATGGTCTCAAAAACCTTAGTAAAGTCAAAATAAATTATATCTATTGCTTCCCCTCTATCTCCCAGGCTGTCATTCTGTCACAGGAGATTAGATTCGCCTGACAAGACTCAATCTTTAGGAAGCCATGCAGGGTGTTATCCAGCATACTGTTCCCTTCAAGGTATTTGCAAATTCATTTGCAGTATCTTCCAAGACACACGTGTTATCCTTGCAGGTTAAGTACAAACAGGTAAAAAATAACAGAATGGGAAAATATAGGCAATGGTTCTTAAACTGGGCCAAAAAATAATAGAATTTTATTTTATTTTCTACAACCTTTGAGGATACTATTGTCATATCTATGTTAGTTGAGAGATTGTGTTCATAAACGGAGTTTACAATAAGTAATTATTGGTATACACTATCATTTAAGAAGTATTCCTTCATGAATTAACTGGAACATGACAAAATATTCAATAGTAATTTGCTTAATACAATGCCAGATTTCAAAGTTAATTTACAGCATATATTGATTTTGAGTATCTACCTCTTTAGAGTATATATGTATCTAAAAATCAAAATAATAGTAATTCTGCACTGTCATGGTATACATATATACTCTTATTATTTTGTTTCTGTTTACTTTTTTAAAGGCAGTTTAATAAGCATATAGTTTCACATAGAGTTGAGCTCATTAAATATCTCCAACATTTAATGGATTCTACTTTACACTGGACATATTAGTGTAAGGGACTCAGAAATAATCACCATTATTTTTTCTAAATCCTAATTTTCTATGATCCTATACTCAGATATTAACATCACAGTCATGGATATGATCAGTATATACAGTGAACCTAGTTCATGCATTGAACTCAAGTAATAAATACTTGTGCCCTTATGGAAAGGTTTGGACGTTCTGTAGTGTCCAAAGTGAAAATTTTATGAGTTTTATTGAGGTAAAATTCACATACCATAAAATTCACTCTTTTGAAGTGTACAGTTCAGTGGTTTTAGTATATTTACAGAATTATACAACTACTATCATTATGTAATTCTAGTCCTAATAACTTATTATCAAATTCCAGAAATATTTTATCACTCCATGAAGAAATCCTGTACCCATTAGGATGCCCATTTCTCTGCATCCGCAAAGAACCTGGAAACCACTAATCTACTATTACATTGTACTCTCTGTATGGATTTACCTATTCTGGATATTTCATGTAAATGGAATCATACAATACGTGACCTCTTGTGTCTGACTTATTTTACTTGGAATAATGTTTTTAAGGTTCATCCATATTGTAGCATGTATCAGAACTTCATTTATTTTAATGCCTGAATGAGATTCCGTTTATGAAAATACTACATTTTGTTTATCCATTTATCTGTTCATGGCCATTTGGGTTGCTTCCACTTTCTGGCTACTATAAATGATGTTGCTATAAACATCTGTGCGCAAGATTTGTGTAGACATATGGTTTCATTTCTCTGGGATATATACCAAGGAGTAGAATTGCTGGGTAAAATGATAACTCTGTTGTTAACACTTTGAAGAAATGTCAAACATTTTACATTTCCAAAGTGAATTTTGTACATTACATATTCACAGATTGGTTTCAAAAAATAGATTTTCATACACCATGCATTTCCTGGATACTCTGCACTCTATGGTCTTTCTTATGCAAATTTCTTGATATTCCAACATTGTAGTTCCCCTTTTTAGAGGCAAGCTGATCCTGCCAAGTAGCAGAAACTTTAATGCCCTCTATAATAAAAACAAAGATTGTGACTTTAAAGAAAGTTTAAGAAGTGAAATATGATTGTTTGGTTGATATGTACAGAGAGGAATTGACCTCTGACTTTTCTAAAGTTTATAGTATAAACAATATAGAGCAAGAAAATAAATTATGCCACATAGGGGTCATCATAGTAGTATTGTCATCAAAACCAATGCTTTCATAGACACAGCTCTACTAGAATTAGCCTAGTATTCTAACCCTTGGCTTCTGGTCACATATGGGGTAAGACAGTTCAGATTAAGGGGGAGGAAATGTAGGCAGAGTAAAGTAAGAAGGTATCACTAGTTGGGACAAAGGCATGTCTATTTTACTTCAAAAGGTGGGAGGTGGCTCACGCCTGTAATCCCAGCACTTTGGGAGGCCGAGGCGGGCAGATCACGAGATCAGGAGATCGAGATCATCCTGGCTAACACGGTGAAACCCTGACACTACTAATACTAAAAATACAAAAAATTAGCCGGGCGTGGTGGCACACTCCTGTAGTCCCAGCTAGTCGGGAGGCAGGAGAATAGCTTGAACCAGGCAGGCGGAGGTTGCAGTGAGCCGAGATCACGCCGCTGCACTCCAGCCTGGGTGACAGAGCGAGACTCCGTCTCAAAAAAAAAAAAAGGTGGGAGATGGGGGTTATGTAAGTTCTTTCTACTGAAATAACATGAACAGTAGTACAAGGAGAGAAGAAAAAGCAAATTCTGGGGAAGTTGCCACTGGGTGAACTGTCTTAAGGTACAGTCTCATAGGTTTTGGCAAGTCCTTAAGGGAGTTATATCTTCCTAGATTTTTTTCTCTTCTCTTCTGGCTTACTATGGAGAATTATGCCTAAATCTTAAACCTTACAACAGTTAAATAAGACCCCTTTCAAAGGGATTAACACACTGAATATTATATACATACAGATTTATATTTATGCGCTATACACATATATAGTCTTTATCTGTATATAAATATGTGATGATAATGATAAAAGGATAATGATTACACGTAGGATAAACATTTATCAAAAATTGTACTATAAATAATAAAACAATAAAATATAAAGTGAAATAAAAAATAGAACACAATTATGGACAGTGAAAATTAGTAGCTTTTTAATAATAAGACAAGAATATAGTTGGAGAAACTTTCAAGAAACCGCTATTAAGACCATTGACTCTCGGAGTAAAAAAATATAGAAACAATGTAGGCACTCACTGTAGGAAATATTCATTTCTCTGCTGTATGAGAGTTTTGGTTTTTAACTTACTGAGGGAAGTTGATGGGCACAGATTCTAAAGAGTATGTTTCCTTTCAGAATTAGATATAATTAATGAAGTAACATAAGACACTTTCTCAGAGCTAACCTTATCTTTAAGTAAGATAATTTTATGGACTCTGAGAAATTGTCATGTTTCTGCCATTGCCATCTCTTAGGATGTGTTTAATGCAAAGCATAAAGTTAATTGTAAAGCTACCCAGGGTATTATATTTTTGACACTTATCAGTTGTTTACATGTTAGTGTGAATCAAAGTTTGAGAGCTAATGCTGATGAGAGGAGGGAATTCCCTGGATAGAGATTTTAAACAACAGGAGAGAAAAAAGAACTAAAAGTTAGGATCCCAGACACAAACTCTGCCTGTTTCAAAGTTTACCTCATTCTTTTCTGAACCTGCAATATTTCCTAATGAACGGTATTTCTAAATCTTATTTAAGATGCCTAACTTCTCTTTCTTGGCAAAAAAAAAGAAGTTGTTCCTTCACAAGGATCATTCTCCATGTGGAATTTGACACCATGTCCGCTTAACCTAATGCGTTATCAGACCAGGTCTCTTTTTTTTCTACATGAATTAAATTGTCAAGTCTCTCTAGCTGCATCATAAATGGTTGGTTACAAGTGCCTCCTCTAGGTGATCATCATAAGATCCTAATGTTTATCTTAAATGGCTTGCAGAAATTTGCAAAGAAACCTCTATAAACCATTAGGACTGATTTGCATCTAAATCATTTTTAACCAGGAGGCAAAAGTTATTTTCTGCAGATGGTCAGGGTTTATATTTTATAGGCAGCAGTGTCTATGAAAAATACAAAACTCATTATAGAAATAGAGCACAAATGCTATTCCCTTCTTACTTTCTGGCTTTTAGACTTGTTTCTACTACTGGGAGAAACATCAATGGAACATCAATGCATTGTACTGGAGACAGTACCTGTTCCCATAAAACACTGAGCAAAGAACAAAGCATTTGTTTTCCTAGTGTAGATGCTGAAGTTAACATGCATTATTTAATAAATATATTTTTGCTTTCTCAAGAGATATATCAAGCAGTAGTAAATATTTCAGTGTTATTTCTTTAGGAAGTTCAAATGTTTTGAGTGTAGAACTTCTTTTGGGAGGGTAAAGGTGGTGTTGGTCGGGAGGAGGGAGGGAGTTGGAGGAATCAAAGGAATGAGGAAAAGCATCATGCTGTAAAGTTTGATTGTTGTTCTACCTCTTTTTCCAACTATACCTGCCATGGAGTTTTCTTATAAATGCAAACATCCTTCATAATACGTTTAAAAACAACAAATACATCACTTGCATGAATATTTAAGGAACCATCAGGAGGGGAAAAACTCATTGGTTTAATGGAATGCTGTCAAGGCAAATCAACATCATGAAAGACACTGGGGCAGAATTGATACCTTTGCACTGACATGTTAAAAGAAAAGCCCATGCATTATTTAGAAAACCCAGAAATCTGTCAGCTGCATGATTGCCGAGTTAGCAGATGCAGGAGGATTCTGCTTGAGTTGAAAAGAAATGCGTAGGCACAGATCCATATTGTAACCTTTCATGTTCTACACCCACCATGAATTCTCAGCTATTATGCAGTCAGCATTTTTGAGTTTTTCTTTTTTAAATTTTCAAGTGCTTCGAAAGGCAAAAGGGGTACATCTTTTAGTCTAAAAAAGCAAAATGCCTAGGCTGTTATTTTAGTGTTAGAGTAAAGATGACAAGACCAAAGATTGTTTTTCATGTTTCTGAGTGTTGTGCAAGGTTCCCCGGAGTGTTTTGAAGTTGTTACAGTAGGTATTATTTTTACACATTTATCCCATGAACAAAGTGTTTTCTTAACCATTTTGCCTTCAATAAACATAAGGAAACACTTTATTTTACTGATTTAAGCACATCAGCATGCCATTTATAAACATGGAAAGTTTTATAGTCTACTAATACAAAAATGAATTTATAGATACTATACATGTAAGCATTTAAAATAATTTTATTGAATACACAAGGGCAGCATTCTCTAGCAACATCTTGTCAAAATATAGTTATTGACATCCTTATGCCTTTGAATTACCCCTATGAGGCAAGTAAGAAGCCAGTATTCTGACTATTATCATAGAAGAGACAAAGAGAGGCACAAAAGAATCAAGTGTGTCTCTTAAGGTTACATATTTTGACAATAAGAGAAAATTAGTGGTAATAGAGCCAAGATTTTGTGTTTTCAGTCTAGTGAGCCTAATGTGTTTTCTACTCTACTGCTGCATCTCACCATTTCTCTGTAAGCCTCTCTGCATTTATAAGTGTTTAATTGTTGCTAAGCCAGAAAATACTTAATGAAAATCTTCTATTCCATATTAGCTGCTAATTTATAGCCAACGAAGGAAAAATCACAACCAGCCAATCACGATTAATGGCATAGAATTAGAAAGTAATATTTTTTTGTATCATCTATATTTTGGAAAAGTCTGTCCAGATAGATTTCAGGAAGTTAATTGCTGATGAGGGTTCAATTTAAAATTATATATTACTTTGTTAAAAAAAAAAACCTACAAATCTTTTGATGGGATTTCCACTGGAAATAATGAATAGCAAAAATTTATAAAACATATGTTATTCCCTGATTTCTGGGTCGCTAGCATTTCTATGGAAACAGATGTGCATACTTCGACATATAGATGGTTAAACTTTCTTTTCATAAGTTCTTGTGGATTTTGTATTGCATACAGGACTTCTTTGGGAGGAACATTAATTTACACTTTTTTATTTTCAGAAAACTCATCATCATCACTATTATATGCTATTTCTACTGGCAAAATAACAATAAGTGAAAAATTCAGGAAGCTAAATTAATATTTTGAGTCAACTTGTAGAATGGTCTGAGGTCTGGATTGTCATTTTGCCTGGTTCCTTTGCTTCTGGATGATATTTTCTAACTGTATCCTCTCTTTTTCATCTCCACCAACCTCTGTTTACTCCTCTTCTCTACTACGTCTACCAGATATATTAAGTTAATAAAGGCATTCATATACTTCAGCAATGTTTTTGGAGTGGGATGTGTGTGTGTGTGTGTGTGAGAGAGAGAGAGAGAGAGAATAAGCACATGCATGCTGAAGTGCTGAAGCACCTGCATCAACATTACTATCACTACAGTCATAGTCCAGGAAAGATGTCTCTGCTCTCAAGCAAGAAACAAGAACTACCATGATGGTTTGGGAATGAGGAAAAATAAGAGGGTGAAATAAGAGAGTGTATTTGACATTAAGTTGGGAAATTGCAGAGGAAGCAACCTAACATTAGGTGTTAAAAGACCTGGATTCTAGAACCACCTCTGCCAAGAAGTAGCTGCAAATCCAGGCAAGTCTCTTTCTGTACCTGAGCCTCAGTTTTCTGATGTGTAAAATAGTAAGTGGGATAAGATTACAGTAAAGACAATTCTAGCTGTGGCAATTCTCCCTTTGTACATAGAGTAATGAGTTATTGCTGTCACTCTAATTGCAGAAGGGAAAAAGAGAGGTGTGGCAATACATAGGTAAGATGCCCATTTAGTTTAGGAACAGTCTGTAAAGAAACTTTAGAAAATTAATAATCCAGATATTGTTTCATTGCCAATTCTTCATTTTCTTCTAGAATTCTAGAATAACTACATTTCCTTCATACATGTTAGAAAACACTGAGTTGCTGTATGATGCATCTTAACAGTGCATAGTAAAGCATGTAGCCCTGGGCCGGGCATGGTGGCTCTCCCCTGTAATCCCAGCACTTTGGGAGGCTGAGGCAGGTGGATCACTTGAGGCCAGGAGTTCCAGACCAGCCTAGCCAACACAGAGAAACCCCATCTCTACTAAAAAAAAAAAAAAAAAAAAAAATTAGCCTGGCGTGGTGGTGCACACCTGTAGTCCCAGCTGCTTGGGAGGCTGAGGCATGAGAATCACTTGAACCTGGGAGGCAGAGGTTACAGTGAGCCGAGACTGCACTCCACCCTGGATGACAGAGCAAGACTCTGTCAAAAAAAAAAAGAAAGAGAGAGAGAAAGAGAGAGAGAGAGGAAGGAAGGAAGGAAGGAAAGAAGGAAGGAAGGAAGGAAGGAAGGAAGGAAGGAAGGAAGGAAGGAAGGAAGAGGAAGGGAAGGGAGGGAGGAAGGAAGGAAGGAAGGAAAAAAGAAAAGAAGAGAAAAAAAGAAAGAAGAAAGAAAAGAAAGAAAGAAGAAAGAGAAAGAAAGAATGAATGAAAGAAAGAAAGAAGGAAGGAAAGAAAGAAAGAGAAAGAAAGAAAGAAAGAAAGAAAGAAAGAAAGAAAGAAAGAAAGAAGAAAGAAAGAAAGAAAGAAAGAAAGAAAGAAAGAAAGAAAGAAAGAAAGAAAGAAAGAAAGAAAGAAAGGCAGGCAGGCCCTGGTCTTAACCACTTTCCTTCCACAATAAAAGAGTAAAAGGATTGATGTAATATATTAGATTTGTCATTATTCTTTAAAGAGTTAAAATTCAAATGAGGAGACTTCTCTCTCCTTTCCCTGTAGGACCAGAGCCATCATATTTAACTTTCTTCAGTTTAGAATTGTTTGGATCTCCATGAGCTATATGGCTTAAAATACTATGAACAGGAACACTTTAAAGTTCTGTTTGGACTACTTGAAACAAACTTTCCATAAGAAAATTGTAAGTAAATAAAGTGAAAAAAATGTGTCCTTCAGACATTCAGCAATGTCTTCCCTGGATTCATTAACGTTAATGAGAACTGCACATTTCACTGAAGGAAAATATATACCTCTTAGTTTATATTTCATCCATATAGGGATATTGCATGAACCACTTTACTTGGTTTATTTATTCTGTTACCTTCCTTGTATTTGAAGAATTAGCACTGTGTTTTAATAGGAGAAAAAAATAACTTTGTCTTATTGAATCAAAATTACCTACTTGAAAGTAATCTATTTTCTTATGCAAGTTTTGTTGTAGCAAATTTACTTTGAAGTATGAGGAACATGTCTTTGTAGAACATAACGAGATACCTCCAGGCACCTACCAAGCAATAGAGAAGGAATTTTTCAGTCTCTTGTTAATTTCCATATGTACTAAATGCAACACAATAAAAACTAATGACAAAATGCAAGTAGCACAGCCTAAGCTACGTAAAATAAAGCATTTTTACATGTCTATAACTTTTCTGATCTTTGACAAATTTATAGTCTCTAAGTACAGAGGTCTAAATCTTCAAAGCTTGAAAAGCAGAGGTGCAGCATGAACTAATCTTCATTTTTCCCCTATCTTCTTACAGCAGCATTAATGGAAATGTATTTTGTTTAATGACTCTGAAATCCTGTTTGTAATTAGATGTGGGAATTGGTCTTACTTTGTAACAGATGATACTGGAATAATAATATGAGAGATGCTACACTGAGACCACTATCCTCCTAAATCTATATCATTTTTCATTTTATTGACAAGAGATGTGTACAAGAAACAAAGAAATTGATTTTAAAAGGGAAGAAAATAAGATCTAATAAAAACTTCCAATCCAAATATTTTAGTGTTATTTTCAATATGTTGCAGTGGGGAAAGGAAAGAGTATGCACCTTGTTTTTAATTTTAGGAAACAAGGGTTTTGGATTTGTTGCTTTATTCCTCATAATGATCTCTGAATATTATTGCAAAGACTAGGTAGAGAAGTTTAATTAAGTGACAGATATCATATCATTGAAGCATGTATTATATGTTAATATGGTTATACAAAATAATATCTTTTAAATAAAAATTTTATATTCAAACAAAGAATTTAATGAGTTGACAGGCTAAATGTAACAGCTATTCCGTATGTTATGTACTTCATCGTCAGTAAAAGCTACAGTCACAAATCATTCTGGTCACTGAAGACTTACTAATACCTGGAGGTCTTAGATTTTTTTCTTGTTTAATGTTAATGGGCTGCAGGGGCCAAAAAAGTAGCCTAAAAAGAAATTATATGCATTAAGAATAGGTTTCATCTTCCCTTCAAAACACATGTATTATTGCCCATTGATAATAGTAAGAATGATTGGAAGTATTGACACATTCTTGGTGGTGTTTCCGATTATACCTATCTAATAGTATATGATTATCAACTTCAGTCATGTTGCATTCGTTTGCTTTCCAATTCTTGTTTTAGACCCTTCTTAGTAGATACAAGAATTGGCAAAAAAAGATATTATATATTGGTCATTTATTTGGAGGCTCACATTTGTTTAGCAATTTAGTTCACAAAGCAGTTTCACATCAACATATTTCCTTTGATTATCATGAAAATTCTATAAGGCAAGTAGAGCGAGTAGTGTCATGATTTCTCTTCGGTATTAGAAGAAACTAAGGCCCAAAGAGGCTCAGTGATGTAGTAAAGTTCAAATAGACAGTATATGGTCAAATACATGAATTTTAACTCCAAAGCTTACATTATTTTCATGGCAAAATAACTCATTGTAAATAAATTAAATTGAGAACACATATGGTTCCATCAATGTACAGGTTAATAGATTTTGGTGACATCATAATGGGTAAGAACACAATGTAATTAGAATGGAAATTTTCCTAAACCCTGGGTTCATGACTCTGCTCACACTGCCAAGCAGTAGAGTAGATTTCAGTTTGATGATGGTGAACAGCATCTTTTATTTGCTATGATAACTAGCATTAGGTTTTTTTTTTAAATGGTATGTAACACTGTCACAGGGGTCTCTATCTTTTTCTTTCTTTTGCAAAGGAAAAGACAGCTATTACAATCAATTTATTTGTTCTTTGTACATGCAATCTGTTAGTGATAAACGCTAATAAAAATAACCTGTTTGAGCTCAAATGTACAAATCAACTGTAAGGGAGTCTAGCTGCTTCATTATGAAAGCTCCTTATACTTATTCAACAGTGTAATACTTGTCTGTTTTTCATTTTTATGTTCATTAGTCTAGAATAGTGTCTTACATAAAGTTAGGATGATAAATATATCAAGAATAGATCAATTATTTCACCTTTCACACAAGTTTCCGGCCGAGACTAGGCACTCAATAATAAACATTTGATGAATGCTGATTGTGTAGTGTGCCATTGCATTCTATATGTTATGCTGAGAGTTATGTGGATTACTTTATTGTAGGACATACTGTTATTCTAGCTCTGTCTTCATTATAGACAAAGATTCTTTTGTCAATAAAAACAAAGAATTGCCTCTCTCTGCAATGTCCAAAACAAATAAATAAATAAATAGAAATTTTATAATAAACATTGATTTTTCTTCTAATCAGGCTACTGGCCAGAAAAGAGGTGCCTCCTTCAGTAGAACCCTGTGGATTCTAATGCTGTTCCCAACCTAAGCTTGATCCCTATAATGGCCCTACATCTTAGGGATGACTTATACGTCTCTGCCTATCTTTTTGGCTGATGAACAACAACAGCTTTTAACAGTAAACTAATGGTTCATCCACTAATTAGCAGTTGACCTTGGCCTTCATTTATGTTAATCTCAGGTTTCCCTATCAGTAAAATGATCGTTTTAAAGGTTCCTTTCTTCTGAAATATGCTCTGTTACCATAAGGACAAATTACAGTATGTTGACTCTTTTTAAAATCTATAGCATGAAGAAATAGTATATGGACATTGTTATAGTGACTAAATTGACCATCATATTTTAATTTACCCCTTAGTGAGGCTCTATTGTCTTTTCTGAGGAGTCGGTGCTACATAGCCATTTGGTGCAGATAGAATCGCTAGTGACACATATAAACAGGACAGGATGTTTTCAATAAGATATATTCACAATCCAAATTCATTGTGTGTATTTCCTTGCATTGAATTGTTTCTTTTGTTTTAGTAACATAACAATTGAATCACATTTGAGTGACAAAAAGTCTGTATGTCTTCTCTGCCATATGAGTATAAAATGGACTGGTAAAGCTAGAAATAAATACCATTATTTTTTAGCACTACAGTTCTCTGTGACCTTCATTGTGTATACATGATACCTTCTAATTCAATTAAGATCAGCCATATTCCACATTAGGTTGTATGATAAAATCCATAAAGGATATTGCAACGAAAGGTATTAATTTGGTAATACCAGATTAACTAGTTTTAGCTTGTGAACTTGATACCAAAAGTGTTATAGAGGCTGGTATGGTTTGTATTTGTGTCCCTGTCTGAATCTCATGTTGGATTGTAATCCCCAATGTTGGAGGAGGGTCATGGTGGAGGTGATTGAATGATGTGAAGATTTCCCCCTTGCTATTCTCATGATAGTGAGTGAGATCTCAAGAGAGCTGGTTGTTGAAAAGTGTGCAGCACCTCCCCCTTTACTCTGTTCCTCCTGTTCCAGCCATGTATAACATGCCTGCTTCCTTCCCCTTTGCCTTCCGCCATGATTGTAAGTTTCCTGAGACCTCCACACCCAGACTTACTGTACAGTCTGTGGAAGTGTGATCTAATTAAAGTTATTTTCTTTATAAATTATCCAGTCTCAGGTATTTCTTTATAGCAATATGAGAATGGAATAATACAGAATATTAGTACTGAGGAGTGGGGCATTGCTATAAAGATACCTGAAAATGTGGAAGCAGCTTTGAAACTGGGTAATGGGCAGAGGTTAGAACAGTTGCGAGGGCTCAGAAGAAGACAGGAAGATGAGGGAAGTTTGGAACTTCCTAAAGCATTGTGGAGTGGTTTTGACCAAAATGCTGATTGTAATATGAACAGAGATGGCCAGGCTGATGAGGTGTCAGATGGAGATGAGGAAATTTTTGGGAACTGGAGGAAAGGTCACTCTTGCTATGCTTTAGTAAAGAGACTGGCAGCATTGTGCCCATGCTCTAGGTATCTGTGGAACTTTGAACTTGAGAGAGATGATTTAGAGTATCTGACAGAAGAAATTTCTAAGCAGTAAAGCATTCAAGAATTAGCCTAGCTGCTTCCATCAGCCTATGCTCATATGTGTGAGCAAAGACACAATCTGAAACTGGAACTTATATTTAAGAGGGAAGCAGAGCATAAAAGTTTGGAAAATTTACAGCCTGGCTATGTGGTAGAAAAGAAAAACCAATTTTCTGTGAAGGAATTTAAGCTGGCTGAAGAAGTTTGCATAAGAGGTGCCAAATGTTAATAGCCAAGACAATAGGGGAAAATGCCTCAAAGGGATTTCAGAGACATTCATGGCAGCAGCCCCTCACATCACAGGCCTGTGGGCTGAGGAGGGAAGAATGATATTGTAGGCTGGACCCAGGACCCCAATGCCCTGATCAACCTCAGGACGCTGCTCCCTGATCCTAGCTGCTCTAGCTCCAGCCATGGCTAAAAGGGCCCCAGATATGTCTCAGACTGCTGCTCCAGAGGGTGAAAGTTGTTGGCCTTGGCAGCTTTGACATTGTGTTAAGCCTATGGGTGTGCAGAGGGCAAGAGTTGAGGCTTGGGGGCCTCCACTTAGATTTCAGAGGATGTATGGAAATGCACAGATGTGCAGACAGAAGCCCACTACAGTGGCAGAATCCTCATGGAGAACCTCTACTGGGGCAGTGTGAGGGGAAAAAATGTGGGGTTGAAGCCACCATACAAAGTCACCACTGGGGCACTGCTTAGTGGAGCTGTGAGAAGAGGGCCACCATCCTCCAGACCCCAGAATAGTAGATCCACTGACGACTTGCATTGTGCACCTGGAAAAGCGGCAGACATTTAATGCCAGCCTGTGCAAGTAACCAAGGGGGCCATACCCGCAGAGCCACAGAAGCAGAACTTCCCAAGGTCTTGGAAGCTCGCCCCCTTGCATAAGTGTGGTCTGGATGTGAGACACGGAGTCAAAGAAGAATATTTTAGGCCAGGTGTGGTGGCTTACGCCTGTAATCCCAGCACTTTGGGAGGCCGAGGCGGGTGGATCACGAGGTCAGGAGATCGAGACCATCCTGGCTAACATGGTGATACCCTGTCTCTACTAAAAACACACAAAAAATTAGCCAGGTGTGGTGGTGGGCGTCTGTAGTCCCAGCTACTCAGGAGGCTGAGGCAGGAGAATGGTGTGAACCTGGGAGGCGGAGCTTGCAGTGAGCCAAGATCATGCCACTGCATTCCAGTCTGGGGACAGAGCGAGACTCCGTCTCAAAAAAAAAAAAAAAAAAAAAAAAGAAGAAGAAGAATATTTTGGAGCTTTAAGATTTAATGAATTCCCTGCTGGGTTTCAGACTTGCATGGGGACTGTTACCCCTTTGTTTGGGCTTATTTCTTCCTTTTGCAACAGGTGTATTTATCCAATGCCTGTACCCCCATTGTATCTTGAGAGTAACTAACTTGTTTTTGATTTTACAGGTTGATGGGCAGAAGAGACTTGCCTTATCTCAGATGAGACTTTGGACTGTGGAATTTTGAGTTAATGCTGAAATAAGTTGAGACTTGGGGGACTGTTGAGAAGGGGTGATTGTATTTTGTAGTGTGAGGACATGAGATTTGGGAGGGGCCGGGGGCAGAATGATATGGTTTGGATTTGTGGCCCTGCCCAAATCTCCTGTTGAGTTGTCATTCCCAGTGTTGGAGGTGGGGCCTGTTGGGCGGATTTCTTCCTTGCAGTTCTTATGATAGGGAGTGAGTTATCAAGAGATCTGGTGTTTTAAAAGTGTGTAGCACCTCCCCCTTCGCTCTCTTCCTCCTTCTCCAGCCATGTAGGACATGCCTGCTTCCCCTTCATGCTTTCACCATGATTCTAAGTTTCCTTAGGCCTCCCCAGCTAGGGAAGCCTGTACAGCCTGTAAAAGCATGAGCTAATTAAACCTCTTTTCTATGTAAATTACCTAGTCTCAGGTAGTTCTTTGTAGCAATGGATGAATGGACTAATCTAAGGCAGAACCTTTGGATAATTCTGTTCCCTACATAATTCCCCAGAATGCTAAAACTTCATTGTAACCCTCAGCTCTTCTCTTTGATTTTCTCTATTCTCTTTGGTTAGTGTCAAAATTTATTATTGGTGCATTTTTGCATGTGTACTCAGAGGACATTGTTCATTACTCTTTTCTGAAATAAGCCTTTGATAGACTCTCAAAAGAGAAATAATTTGCCACCGTCTAGCCACAGTCTCTTAATTTGACAACTTTAGAAGTCACAATTCATTGGACTTTACTAGCCACTGGGCTCAAGAAATAAGCAGTGATTAGAACTTGAACTACAAATATTCAAATGTTCTACCAGCAAAGAAGGCTGTAAAGCCTCCATTGTCAAGCTTGTTCTATCTCGAATTGATTCTTATGAGGGTGTACATACAGTTGGTTTTGATATTTTACAGCTGAATGGCCAAAAGAGCAGAATAGAATCATATTCAATGGAAATTTTAGCTCAGGATCCACTCATTAAGATGTTGAACTTATTTCAGATAAGCAATGTCAGTGTGAATAGAAATATCTTGAGTATCTAGTGTTTATCTTTTCTGGCTCCAGAATTTCTTATTGCAAAAATGACAAGTCTGTTACCCTTCTGCATTTTTTCTTTGTCATATCCAAAAACTGATGAAAATACAGGATTTCTGCTTTGAAAGAAAATGAAAAGTATTTCAAGCTAGTTTTATAATCTCTGAGCAATCTGGGCTCATCATCCACTCCTCTTCTACTTGTATTTGCTTTAAAGAAGTCTTGCCCCATGCTTTTATGTAGCACAGCCTAACATCAGATACTTGATTCTTAGAACCAAATGGAGTAGCCATTCAGTAATTTCCTTATGCTATCTTTTAAAAATATTGGAATTGAAAAAAACAACATGTAATATGTATAAATTATTAGTGAAGTCACTAGACAACTCAAGAACTAAAAGATTATCAAAAGCTTGCATTTGCATATATGCACATCCCTTTTCCCATCCCTCTGCCTCCCAACCAAAGATAAGCACTCTCCAGAATTTTGTGTTTAGAATTTCACCACTTTTTTATGCTGCTTATATTTAAATAAATATTTATTTATAGAAACAACTTATAGAAGCATGGAATGCCAGATCTGGAAGGCAGCTTTGAGATCATCCAGCTCAACTTAATAATTGTACAAGAAAGGAAACTGAAACCTATAGGAGGCAAACTGAGGATGTCTAGCCTTTTAGTGGGAAGATAATCATCATTTGAGAGGTTGGAAAATTACTAGTATTCTATGATTCTATCCATTTATTTATAATTGCAACATAAAATTTGATATTAAGGCTAGGTGCAGTGGCTCACACCTGTAATCCTAGCACTTTACGAAGTCGAGGCAGGTGGATCACTTGAACCCAGGAGTTCAAGACCAGCCTGGGCAACATGGCAAGAGATCGTCCCTAGAAAAACACAAAAGTTTGCTGGACATCGTGGCACACGCCTATAGTCTCAGCTTCTCGGGAGGCTGACATAGAAGGATCAGCTGAGCCCAGGGTGGTTGAGGCTGCAGTGAGTGGTGATTGTGCCACTGCACTCCAGCCTTGGTGACAGAGTGAAACACTGTCTCGAAAAAAAGTGATATTAAAATGTTTAACATTAAAACTTGGTGCTATGAGTCTGAAATTAAGAGTTTTTTTTTCTTTTTTTACTTAAAAGTATACAATTTGTAAGAGAACATATTTACAGATAAACTGCTTATCAAACTTGTTTGTATTGCATTTATCAGTCTCTAAATTATATTATAAACCAAGAGCCTCAGTCCTATTGAAAAGTAAAATTTAAAGATGCAATAAAGTCTTTTTGAAACAATTTCAGTGAAAAATAATTTCCGATAAAAATATTAATCTGCTCTGATTTTATTTAGAATTGTATTGCTGAACATGTGTGTGCACATACACATGTGCATGTAATATTTTCAGACTAGCTGAGCATAGTATTAATTTCCAAAGTATTCCCCAGAAATTGTAGCATATTATTTCTTTGATTTTATGGTCATCACCTTAAATAAGTAATAACCTAAGACTTATATCTGATGACTTGCCATTGTCACACTACATACCTTGGCTATGTAAGGGAAATTGTGGGTAAAATAGCAGATATTTAGCTGAAGAATAACCTTTTCTAAAGTTCCTTAAAACCTTAAAAAGACATTGGTGCTTTGTAAACACACCCATAATGTTTTTCTAATGTTTATCAACTAAGCCTATTGAAACTGAAGCTTCTAGCACTCCACCTGAGAAAATTGAAGGAATTCTGAATCCCTTTGTAAACTAAAGGCTCTGTCTTTGATTTATCTGTTCTTACATCCCTAGTCTGCCTACAGTTCAACCTCACTAGTTTGTATGAATGGGGTGGCAGTAACTCTGAAATACAGACCAGCACTGACCAATAGAACTTTCTGCGATGATGGAAATGTTCTTCCATGCTGTCCATCATAGTAGGGTTGGTGTGATTGAGGAACTGAATTTTTCATTTTATTTATTTATTTAAATTTAAATAGACATATGTGTCCAGCGGCTACTATATGACACAGCTCAGATAAAAAACAAACAATTTAATTTGTGTTTTCAAGAAATAAGAATGTAACCATAAAGAGTCCTCATACTGCATGTATATGCCTGAATTGATCAACATTTGTAATTAGCATACCGTTTGTTTTGAAATAAATACTTTTAGGTTGTTGGTTTTGTGAGCGAAACAAATCACAGATTGAAAAAGCATTTATCTTGCCACATTCCTTTTCATAGAGTGGGCAAAGGCATCCATCACCCCACACTAGATTAGTACAGTTACATATTCTAAATTTATTAGTTTAGTTTTACTGTTTTCTCACAAGAAGTAACAATTCAAAGGCACACAGAGATATTTACAAATGAGATAATAAGAATAATTTTTACATGGCAAAATAGAGAAAAAATATCAACGGAGATACTGCACCTCAAAATATTTAATTTCTATGTTAGCATCCTCAACTAAATGCCCAACATAGCCATTTCTGTAGTTAGAAAAAGAGATTTCATATTTTAAGTTAGTCGCTGCCTAAACATATTTGTGCTTAACTTTTGACAGAGTTGCCATTTTCATTTAGGAAGCATAATAATGAAAATAACAAGCTTAATATAAATATGTAAATTTTACCTTAGAAAATACTGGTTTTGCCAATCTCTAAAGATGCCTTAAAGCATGTTTGTAAAGCTGGCCCTGCCTTTTCATCACAAACTATCAAAAAGAATGCAATTTGCACACTATTCTCCTAAAATTAAAAGATAAGCTGCTTTTCACTCACTCTGAAGAGTTCTCTTGGCTTCTAATCATGTAAAAATGAAAGAACTGCCAATTTGTCCTAAACACTGGACCACAATTACGGTAAAATGGGCTTCAGATTCTCACTGTATTCAGGTTGTAAACACTTGCCTGACAACAACTGAAAGCAAGGAATTTGGGTATTTGGAGGTGGATATTAGTCCTAAAGTATAACAGGTGTAGTAGCCCTCAGTAATTAGGACATTAAGAGACTGTGTGAGAAACAACTTTACCAAACAACTAACTGAGTTATCAGAAGTGAAAAGTGAATTCTCAAGTTTTATAAAGTATAAGAGCTTTGGGAAGTGTGTGTTTGTCATTATGGTTAATTTGCACATACCTCACTGAAGAAAAGGCCAGGGGAGCTAGGCCGAGAACACAGCTGTACAGGCAGCTCAACTAATTGCCTATCCATCCTCAACCTCATTTATCTTCATTTCTTCCCAATTATACCAAATTATCAATAGTCTCTGTTGCATCAGAGTCTTAATCCCCTTTATTCAGGCAGCATTAGATAGTGGCAGATGAATACTTGGAGGGAGTCAGGGTAAACAGCCATGAATGCCACCTCTGGCAGATGGCATTGCTCAGAAGAAATGTGACAAAACATTTGGAGTTTGTAACTGGGCATTGGTATGAGGATGCAAGCTGTTAATATTTTTTTAAAGGTAATCAAGGTGGTACATGGTAAAAATGCAACCCAGATTTTAAAGAAAAATACAAGGGTGCAGGTGTTCACACCAACTTAAAATAATACATTTTTAGATAGTATATTCCCACTGAGCACTGTAACCATGAAATTTTTTCAGACCATGATATTTTATGATAATCAGTGGCCTATTTCCATTTGAAGCAAGGCATACATGTTCTGTATTCAAAGACAAAATATTATTTATTTTTCTTTCCAATCAAATAACAGACTGTGAAATATTTATTGTGTCCATTGCCAAATTGGAAATATGTTTCAAAATTGGATAACAAATTGAACAGCCAAAAGAAAACATGTTAGTGAGAAAAGAATGTTTGAAAACATTTACAATTACTACAGTTTTCACTTGGTAAAAATAAGACAATAAGAATTAATGTTTTGTGTCATTTACAGAAATATCAATACTATAATAGAAATGTAAATAATTTATTTTCATTCAATAATAGATTTGGTACTTTGCAGAAATAATCACATAACTTATGTATGCTTTTATGAATTTGAGTTTCAGGAGCATATGAACTATAGATGTTATCACATAGATGGAATGAGTAAATAAATAAATAAGAACAATCATTAAAATGAAACATAAAAAAAAATAGGCTGCTTTCAAGTATTTTATTATCAAGTCATAGATCTTTTTAAAAGAGCCAGCTGATTTATCTTTGATATTTTCTAGAATAGGTAGCATTGCTTTAAGTAGTGGTATCCCTTTCATCTTTGTCATTTACATATTGGTGCTGAATTCAATTGCATGAACACAAATTAGATTTCTTGGTCAGAAACAGAGAAGGTGAAAAGTAGACAAAACTATGGAGCTGCCTGTTCCCTTGGTATCTTAGGTTCCAGATCTCCATGTCCTTTTATCCTCTCCTTCTTTGGCTACACCTAGGCAACTGTATCTTCCACCATCCTCCCTGTCCTACACAGTCCTACCCAAGTTATATCCCACAAATGTTCTTTCCCACCTCCATTTCTACAATAATTTAAATTTTTTATACTTACTTTATAAAATATGTCTGAACTGTCTAGACTGCATGAGGTAAGACTGTATGAATTGAGTCATTAATCAACTTTGGAAGGTAATAATTGCTTGCTTTTAAGGCCTTTTGATTTGAAATCCAGTTTCTTAGGCTACTCTGTATATTGTGCATTGTTAGGACGGCAGAGCTTAGGAAGTTTGTGTGAATGCGTAGGTATGAATTACCCCCACACACATCTATGAAGAACTATTTCTTTTTACTTTGAGCTCGGATGTGTGCTGTTTTCTGTTCTACAAAGTTCTAAAACATACATATTGCTATTGTTGACAATGCACAAATATTTTCAACACATGAAAACTTTAAAATGCCAATAGTTTTGCAATGTTATTAACTTTGAAGTTACTATTATTTTATAAAACTCCAAAAAGTTAAACTGTAGCATACAGACTTCGCTTTCAGTGCCAGGCATAGGTTTTATATGTCTCTCTCTCTCTCTCTCTCTGTCTCTGTGTGTGTGTGTGTGTGTGTGTGTGTGTGTGTGTGTGTGTGTATTCCCAAATATATTTACCATGCCAGGTTGTCAGCCTTGGAAACAAGTCTGTAAATTGGCCAAAAGCATCACACATTATTTTGCTGTAAGTGTCTGCTACTTTTGCTGCATTGCCAACCCTAATAAGCCGAGCCTGTGTGGTGTGCTGGTGCATATTTAACCTTTCCTCCTTACAGGAATGGGTCTGAGCTTAACGGTCATTATGTATTAAAATTTGGTAGGCTGTAGCCAATAGAGAATCTCATACTAAATTATACTGTGCAACTGAATTCGGGCTTGTATGTGAAAGAATACCTAGTCTATTAGTGATTCACAAGATTTTTATATTTAGGCAAAATAGACTCATTTGTTTATATTCTACTCCCTCTCTTGTTAGCATACTATACATAGTATGAAGAGACCAACTCAAATAATTTAATGATGGCAAAATATTCCGTTTTTTAAAAAGATCCAGACATCTCAAATTGTACTGTTGTTAAGATCAATCTTTCTCCTCTCTCTTCCAAATCTAATTGAATTTTGAAATTGAATATTGAAACATAACTGCATGCTTTAAAACTTTTCCAACTATTGTAACTGCTCTGGAGAAACTAAAAGTTCTTAAAGATATAATTATCATCCAGCCATTAGCACAAAATATATAATCATATTTTGTAAACATCCATCTATTGTGTGCAGGTAGTGAAAACTGCAGCTAAACTATTAATGTATTAAATTGCATAAGTTAATCCAATGTTTGATACTTTTCTTTGAAAAATATGTCCAAAGGAACAATCTGGAATGAAAACAAATTACCAGACACTATTTTTTACTGCCCTGTTGCCTAACGTGTGTTGAATGACCATTTGGAAAGCAAGTCAGTGCTTCTGCTTAATCACTTGAAAATTTTGTGCATATTTTAACTATACTCATCATTGTTTTATTTAAAAGAAACTAATGGCCTTTTCAAACAGGAAATGTATTTTAATTATTGAATTCATAATGACTCATTTCTTTTTTTTTTTTTTTTTTTGAGACAGGGTCTCACTCTGTCATCCAGGCTGGAGTGCAGTGGTGAGATCATAGCTCACTGCAGCCTTGACCTCCTGGACTCAAGCTATCCTCCTGCCTCAGTACCTGAGACTACAGATGCATACCACATGGCTGGCTATTTTTTTAATTGATTTTTATTTTTTGTAAACATGGGGCTATGCTATGTTGCCCAGCCTGGTCTTGACCCCTTGGCCTTAAGCAATCCTCCTGCCTCAGCCTCCCACATTGCTACTGGTGTCAGTCCTTGCATCCAGCTGCCCTCGAACATTTCTAACATCAGTAGACAGGGATTGGATACTATGCCTTCCATATGCATCTATGTATCTATATATGTATCTATGTATCTATCTATCTGTGTGTCTGTCTATCTATCTATCTATCTATATGTCTGACTCCTTTCTATCTTGCTTGATATAATTTTCTTGAATTTGTTTCTTTATGATATGGTAAGCATTTCATATTAACAAAACTGCAACTTGAAAAGGATGTGTTCTCTTGTTTTGGTCAAGAAAAGCAGACAATCTTATTCCTAATGCTTGTCTAGCACACTACTTGAAAAATAATTTTAGCTGCTCAAAGAGAAGTTCAGGAATTGAGTATAATAAAAACAGTGTTTAAAAAGTTTTCTCGGCCAGCTGCAGTGGCTCATGCCTGCACTTTATGAGGATCATTTGAGCCCAGGAGTTCAGGATCAGCCCGGGAAACAGTGAGACCCCATCTCTACAGAAAATAGAAAAAATTAGCTAGACATGGTGTTGCGCACCTGTATTGCTAGCTATTCGGGAGGCTGAGCTGAAAGGATCACTTGAGCCCAGGAGTTCAAAGCTCTAGTGAGCCATGATTGCACCACTGCACTCCAGCCTGGGTGACAGAGTGAGACCCTCTCTCTCTCTCTCTTTCTCCCTCTCTCTCTCTCTCTATATATATATATAATTATATATGATATACATGATATCATATATATATGTTATATATAATTATATATATATAGTCTACTTGTGGCATTTTTATTGTATTCTGAATTAGATATATTTTCATTACTTTAAGCCCATGGCTTTTAGTATTTTTTTCTGATCATTAAAGAAGTGTTATTAATCACATTGGATGTAGTAATAATGCCTTTTCCACTTAAATCATTGTTTTCAATTGTGGAATTAAGCCTTGTATGTTCTATCCTTCTTTTAGTGATTGGCTTCCAAGAAATACCATTATTTTCCCACTCTTTTCTCTTCAGGCATCAACTTGGCCCTTTTCCTTCAGATGCTTTGCAGCCTTACCCTCATTTTCAAAAGACAGAGAAAACACTACCCATAATTGACTCATATCATTTATATTTTAAAAAGACTTCACTTTAAAGGAGGGACGTGAATAAGAAAGTAGCTTTCCTATGCCACTTGGAATTGAGGGATTTTCTCTGAAGGCCTTCAATACTTCATGATTCCCAGGTCTGCCCACTACAGATCTCAGCCTAGTCTAGTAAGCCTATCCTTGAAACTACCGCTTTCTTAGCTCTCTTCACCAAAGTGCCTCATTTTGTTCCTCAGATTCTAAACTGTGCACATTCACAGTCAAAGCCTCAGTTAAAAGCACTTATATGCCTCGTATCAGTAACAATTGAGGATAGTGATTTAGTGTGTGTGTTCTGGAGTCTTTCCTGGTTTGATTCTTTACTGGTGGTACAAGCGTGGGAAAATCAGTCTTTTGAGTTTCAGTTTTCTCTATAAAATGTGGCTGATTATAGCACCTATCACATGGTGTTCTGAGGATTAGGTGAATACTTTCTACCACACGTCAAGTGCCCAGTGTGCTTTCAGCGTTTTTCAGGCTCACAGTGTGTGTTCAGTGAATGTGATTTTCACAGGTATTAGACATATATGTGGTAAGTGTTTTGTAAGCAGCAGCCGGTAACTGATAATTATAGTTTTAATTACTCAGTGTAGTGATAAAATCCATTTATGAATCTCTTTGATATCATCAGCAGTAATTCATAAGCCCCAGTGTAATACAAGTGAAAGATCCATTCCATACACTCATAGGCACTAAGATCCCAGAGCCAGTGAATGTTCCATGTCAAATCTATACTTGCTATGTATTGATTCTATCTATTGATTTATTTTACTTCTACTCCATTTTCTTCTACTTTTATTTTTCATTAAAAAACTGTATTTCCTTATCCTTTTTTTCCATATAGAATAATTTTTGGTGATAAAATTAGAATTATTCAGTCTAATGCCTCAGCTTAACAAACATGTTTCTTTCTCTTTGTATTTTTATTTCAGGCTCTGCCATGTATTTCAATTTGTCATATTTTCCCCAGTTTTATAGATTTCTGTGAATTTGAGTCTGCGAGTTTTATCTTTATTTGGGTAAAATGATTATTTTTTTCTTGCCTAAATTCTTTCTTTTTTGTGTCTTTCATGTTCGTGTTGTATGCTTGCCTCTTTCCTCTTATCTTTTGTTTTATCTTGTATTCAGTTTACAGCAATATGAAAATTATTGGCAAAAGTTATTCTCCATTATTTCTACCAACTTTCTCCTCTTTCTTCATATTAAATATTTTGTTCTTTCTTATCATTCTTCTTTTAAGAAGTCCTAGGATTAATAATCAATGTTTACCAGCCAAACCCAGTCTTTTCTGTACAGAGAGAAAAAACAAAGAGCCATCTGCTTCTGCTTTCTCAAGAGGAGAACAGGCTATATATAGTTGTTTAGTCTCACTGCTGAACCACTTGATACATTATTAGAAGTAGCCTAGTAAAGCCGTATCTGGAGTCCTCATTTTCAGTGTTTTACTGTATCCTATTATACAATCTGCTTTAAGAGCAACAAGTTTTTTGCACATGGCCATGAAAATTAATGTGGTTAACTGCAAAAATAATAGAGCTTTACCTTTGCAAATTATTCCTTTAATTCTTGGGGTCACTAGTGGTCTTCATCATCTTTTGTTAGTAGTATAGTTAAAAAGGTAGTCACCCTATAGACAAGTTAATAAAGTTAATACCCTATTTTGTCCTTTATATTCTAAAAAAACTTAAATGATAACAGCTTACACTTATTTAGTGCTTGATATGTCTAGATATTGTATTGCTTTACATATTCTGTCCCATTTAATCCTTAAAACAACCCTAGAGTAGGTAGATTATATTTCCATATCAGATATTAAGAAACTCAGACTCAAAGAACCCTAATGTCATTTCCAAAGCCCATAGATATTAAATAGAGTGGCCAGAATTCAACATCAGGTCTGTCTGATGCTCCTTCCACTATGCTATTAGGATTTTTTGAAGGATACAATTCTTCCCTCTCTATTTTGCGTCGGTCTCTATCTGCCACTTTCATAGAACTTTGCCAGTTGACCACTACCAGTCAAGTAAGATCACTTTAACCTCGCCACTCCAAAGCATACAGACAAGCTGAAATCTCAACAAGAAAACTTTCTGTGTGAGTAATAATTAACTCTCACCATTGGCCACAAAAGATCATAATGCTTTCATATCGATTTATTGGTCAACATGAATTCTGTTGTCTAGAGACTGCATTATGGTTTCCCTAAATAATTTTTTGATAGCTGTAAGAATTGCACTGACAGGAAGATATTTATACCTACAGAAATGATATTACTTTGTGTGCAGGGATAAAAAGAAGAGATGAATTATTCTGCCTCCTTCTATGTGGCCAGTCTTGCCCTCTGCTTTTTGGTTTAATTCATTAGCTTCTAAAGCATGGCGTATTTGGTTAAATTAACAGTGTAATAGAAAAAGTACTTTAATTATGCTTTGGGTAAGTATATATACTTAAATTATGTTATGGGTAGGAAAATAAATTATGTAGGTATATATACTTAAATTATGTTATGGGTAGGTATATATACTTAAATTATGTTACAAGTAGATAAATCTATTTAAATTATATTATGAGTAGGTAAATATACATCCATAATATTACACTTTTACAACACTAATTTTTCATCTTCTTAGTTGATCTATGAAAAATGAGTGTTGTAAATATATAATATTACAATGTATATTTTTAAAAATTTTCTGATTGATTATGAAAAAAACTGTAAATTTGTGCCATTTAAATTTTTTGTAATTCAAGGCAGTCATTGAAACTCTATGTTCATACACTCTATCAGGTAAATAATAAGTATGCTCTTTTAGTATACATAAAGTAAATTTCGAGCTGTATACATGTACTAACATATGCACACAAAATAGAAATTAAATAGAAATAATTAAGAAGATTAAACAAGATTTTAACTAATAAATTTTATTAATTACATAAAACTTTTAAAACATATATTCTTAGTATCAGTGAGGACAATGTGATTAATACATCAAAACTGATGACCTTTACAATATTTTACTTCTTAATGAAGGTGACAGAGTTCCTACATTGAGTAGAAGTATCAGCTCTGCTATTTTATATCTCTTCTCCTGTGCTTGCATTATTGTCTTCAATCTGAGGTTGTATTGTGTTGTTCACTTTGTAAAGGCTAGTTTATTGAATCCACTCAGTTGAGTGTACATAGAACATATCACAATGAGGTCAGAATAAATAAAAGTCTAGGGCTGCCAATGGCCAACCACTGCCCTGCTGAAAACTCCTACTCTTTTTTTCCTCTGGATTCCTCTAATGATTGAGTGGTGAAGGCATCAGTGATGGTTCATATCTTAAATATTAGTGACACATAATGTTGTACTTACTTTTTGGTTACATATAAAATAAATATTAAAACTCAAATATCTTGCTCTATCTTTGTAGGTCAGCTTTTACATTTTCTAGGGTATGCATAACCTCATTTTAAGTAACTCCAATTTAAGATATATCTTACAAGAGCACATGTCACAGCTTATAAATTCTAGGAACTAGCTCTTTAAAATAAATAATTTGCCTGTATTCTCAGTAATTGTTCAATAGTTCAGAAATATGACAAAAGAGGAAAACGATAAATGGTGGTTCTGCTTGGCTTCTGGTGAAGCCTCAGGGAGCTTTTATTCATGGTGGAAGGCAAAGGGGGAATAGGCACATCACATGGCAAAAGCAGTAGCAATGAAGAGAGGGTGAGGGCGAGGTTCCACACACTTTAAAATAATTAAATCTTGCAAGAATTCACTCACTGTCAGGAAGACAGCACGAAGCCATAAGGGTTCCGTCCCCATGATCCTAACACCTTCCACCAGGCCCCACCTCCAGCATTCGAAATTAAAATTCAACATGAGATTTGGGTGGGGACAAATATCCAAGCTATATTGGTGGTATTACATGATTATTTACTGCGAAGTGACTTGATAATATGTTTGTCATTTAGACAGACCACATGTTATTAAGAATGAAAGAAGGAACTCAAATTCAGATAAGAAAATGCTATCACTGTCTTGAACTCAGATTTTTCGAGTCTTTCAACTTGCAATACTTACACTAGCAAGAAATGAATTCAAATTTCCAAAAAGTGTCTTGTCACACATAAACAAATTTTTCTGTACTTGCCACAGCAGAGAGCTTAGATAGAATTGAAGGGTATTTTTATTTTATTTATTTATTTATTTATTTATTTTTTGAGACGGAGTCTCACTCTGTCGCCAGGCTGGAGTTCAGTGGTATGATATCAGCTCACTGCAACCTCTGCCTCCTGGGTTCAAGCAATTCTCCTGCCTCAGCCTCCCGAGTAGCTGGGGCTACAGGTGCGCACCAACATGCCCAACTCATTTTTATATTGTTAGTAGAGATAGGGTTTCACCATGTTGGCCAAGATGGTCTTGATCTCCTGACCTCGTGACCCACCCGCCTCGGCCTCCCAAAGCGCTGGGATCACAGGTATGAGCCACCATGCCCAGTAATTGAAGGGTATTTTTTTAAAAAAACTTCTGCTCCAGGCAACATAACATAATACCAAGATAAATATGACAATTTAAAAATTTGGGGGTTTCATAGGAGAGTGAATAAGATTATCATTTGAAATTGCAAAATAATATCTGGCAAAACCCCATTTTCTTCATGTCTACAATAAAATATCTTTTAACCAGAGTGTATTTTAAGTTATGCAAACTAATAGTTTGCAAGAGTTTCTCCAACTATATCATCACACTCAGCAGGTCATATGGAAGAGCACTGTGCCTTCATCACTTGTGATACAATTCCTTCTACAACTAAACTAATCTTTGAAACTCAATAATGTGATGTTTAAGTTTTAGCCACTGTGCTTTAAAGTGGCACTCAGGGAATACTTACATCTTGCAACATTTTAATTTAGAAACAAAGATTTTGGGACTTTCCTTGAATTTTACATTTACTTCGTGAAACATATTAGCCCTATTTTTAGAAATATGTATGAGTTAGGTGCAATTTATTTGAGTAAGCCTGTGGTGAGTACTTATATTTTTTAATTATTAAGTCTACTTTGAAGCATCAGTTCCTTTTAAATCCAGAAATAAATTTGTTCACTATTAATTTTGAAACATTTGAATTTGACTCCTGATCTTTTTGGATCATGGTGATGATACAAGTATAGAGTCATTTGTTTGATTTTTTTCATTTGTTTGTTTGGTTGGTGGGTTTGCCTGTAAAGATAACGCAGCCAGCCAACAGACATGAAAAAAAAGCTCATCACCACTGGTCACTAGAGAAATGCAAATCAAAACCACAATGAGATACCATCTCACACCAGTTAGAATGGTGATCATTAAAAAGTAAGGAAACAACAGATGCTGGAGAGGTTCTGGAAAAATAGAAATGTTTTTATACTGTTGGTGGGAATGTAAATTAGTTTGACCATTGTGGAAGACAGTGTGGCGATTCCTCAAGGATCTAGAACCAGAAATACCATTTGACCCAGAAATCCCATTAGTGGGCATATACCCAAAGGATTATAAAACATTCTATGATAAAGACACATGCAAACGTATGTTTATCGTGGCACTATTCACAATAGCAAAGACTTGGAACCAGTCCAAATGTCCATCAATGATAGACTGGATTAAGAAAATGTGGCACATATACACCATGGAATACTATGCAGCCATAAAAAGGGATGAGTTCATGTCCTTTGCAGGGACATGGATGAAGTTGGAAACTATCATTCTCAGCAAACTATCACAAGATCAGAAAACCAAACACCGCATGTTCTCACTCATAAGTAGGAGTTGAACAATGAGAACACATGGACACAGGGAGGGGAACATCACACACTGGGGCCTGTCAGAGGGTGGGGGGCTAGGGGAGGGATAACATTAGGAGAAATACCTAATGTAGGTGACGGGTTGATAGGTGCAGCAAACCACCAGGGCAAGTGTATACCTATGTAACAAAGCTGCACGTTCTGCACATGTAACCTAGAACTTAAAGTATAATAAAAAAAAAGAAAGAAAGAAGATAATGCTTATGTATTCATACAACATTTGTAGTGCAAGTTGGTCCATCCATCACACTCTCTCAGAGTCTTAGCACATTTCTTAGAACCCTTTGAAGGTTTGTATATAAACATTCTGGTCATGCAACCAAGGTATTCTTTTCTTTCTTCCTGGGTACTGCTCTGCTCAGTTTTATTCTCTTCTTTTTAAATTGTCCTTTCTGATACTCCATCTTCTTTATTTTTGTTTTTCATGTTTATTTCAGTCGTTATGTCAAGGGCCAATTGGAGGAGATGAGGCTAGTAGTAGGAAAGTCAGTTAAGAGTCTCTTGAGATGATTGTAATGTGAGAGAGTAATGAGGGTTCAAACAAAGGCAGTGTCAGTGGGAATGGAAGGGAACCCAGTGTAAAGTCAATTCCAGATAATTTGGCCACTTAAGCACAGAGTGAATGGTTAAAGAGATGATAATGATACTTTTATTAGACTGAGAGATCTTTGAGGGCAAGGGATTTGCCTTTTATTTCTATATTCTCAGTACCTGCAAATAGCACCTGACACATGTTAAGTACTCAAAAATTTCCCATTGAAACAATTGCATTATGCCACTAACAGATACAGGAAATAAAGGAGCAAGATCTCTTTCATTGAATAATGGTCAATTTAGTTTCAGACATGTTGAATTGAAGATGCTGTAGATACCTGTGTTTTAAATTGTTTTACACAAACTGCTTATCCTCTAGGATAGCACTTTCTAGTATAACTTTCTGCAAGGAAGTAAATTATCAATATCTGTACTTCCCAATATGATAGTCCCTAGCTGCATGTGGACTTTGAGCACTTGTAATGTGATTATTGCAACTGAGCAGCTGAATTTTTTCATTCTTTTTACTTTACTTTAATTAATTAAAACTTATATTTAAATAGCCACAGGTGACTAGTGGCTATTATATTGGCAAGTGCAGCCCTAGAGGCTCATCAATTAGCTGCTATTATACCTCTGATTAAACTTGAAATTCCTAGACCATCACCCTGTGGTGTGGCTCTTCCTAGGTAATGTTTTAAAGTAAAAGAGGAGATAAACTAGTTGAGACCTTCTCAATATTTTAAAATGAATAATTATTATCTATTTTCTATCCATATTGGTTCAAATTTCAGATACAGTGCATGATTGCACTACTGATGTCACCGGTCTGATAAACTGCTGAATATTCTATTTTCTGAATGCATACAGGAAAAGCAAATAAAAGAATAATATGATAAGGTTGTAGAGTATAGCACCTTTACACATACATGCCTCGTTTTCCATTCATGTGTTAGCACTTTACAATACACTAAACCCTGAATTTGTGTCTATATGTGTGTGTGTACACCTCCCCGCTACACACACTTATACTATATTATTATTTACAAAAAATGAAGTCTTTAAAGTTTAATTATGATTTAAAATATTTTTCTACTACAAAATGCTTCATGCTGTGTAGATTCATCAAACAATGTGCATTTATCTAAGATTCTAGCTAAACAAATATTCTATGGCTGAGAGAACAAGCTCGATTTAGGCTGTATGCTACATAGACCTCTTCCCATTTGGCTTCTTTTTCTTTGCCTTATGCACATAAGATTACTGGAAACATGATCAATTTAGACCCATATTTTCAAATAATCTGACTTATATGTTTTGTTGTAGCTAGAAAAGTTTCAATGTAAGTACAGCTTTTTATAAACACTTCTATTTTTCACAGTTAAGGCCATAGTTTTGAATTTAATAATTACCTTATATATTTTTCCTAGTAGGTGGCTTTTAAATTTGTACATTGCAAAATGTAGTAGCAACTGCTACTATAGTATTCCTCTAAAATAATAAAAGTTACACTCCACTTGAATTCATAAGACAGAGATCATTTTTATATTATGAAACTCTTGCATATGACTCACACAATTCTAGTAGTCTTAGAAACTCAAACCTACAGAAATTAAAGCTTATGCATTTATAAAGAGGATCACTGATCCCTATAGGTGGATGAGGAAGACTGTTTACTAAATTGTCTTGATTCTCTTCAGTGAATATTTTATTAGCTTCCTTCACTCATTCTTAACAACACGGTGCTAAGGTGAAGAATGATTGCTTGGAATTTTTATTTAGAACCTTACTGCTGGATTTCCTTTATACCCATTTGAAACATTTTGGTGTTTGGGTGTTTTAGCTTGTAGGCTTATGCTAATTTGTTTGGAACACATCATAATGATCTTTGCTATTGCTTTTCACAAACCTGACCATAATAAGCATTGTGTTATTAGAATGGGAAATGCGGAAGTGCTAATTAGACAAAATTTTAGCAAATTAAAACATTAAAATACTGCTTTGGGTCCCACCCATAATATGCTCCTGCTCCTTTTTCAAGTTATTATTTTTAACTAAGTGGATAAAAAGGTCCTTTTTTTGTCTTAAATTCCATGTTTCTGTTGTAAGGTCCCCATGATTCATAGGTCTCTGTCCTCTACCCACTTATCCTACAAAGAAAATGCAACAAAAACAAATAACCTTCTGGGAACCCTAACATTTTAAAATGAGTTTTTTAAAAAGGTCTAAATTGCAAACTAAAGAGTTTCTGACTAAAGCAACAGAAGTTTGTCTGATGCCTTGTTAAATTAATATTTCCCCATAGTGAATCACTTTATTGTTCTTACACTGATTCTAACTAAGAATATATATTTCTACGAAGTAAGGGCTTATAAAAAATGTAGTTCTCTCTAGCTTTCTTATTGGTAAAGTTGGGATTAAATTAGTTAGTGTTAATGTAGCAATAGTTGCTTGTAGTACTGTTTATTGTGTTACACTCTTTATTGTCATCAATTTAGTTTTACTAAATATTGTGCTAAAACAGTGATAAGTAGTTGATATGGAAAAGCTCAAATAAATTATTCAGTTAATGAGGATTTGCTCCATTTTCTACATTATCTTTACATACTTAGGACTGTGTTGGGTTACGTTTATACTTAATACAAAATTTCTTGAAGACTTAAAGAGGTTACTTTATTTTCCCAAGCCAACTGCCTACCCTGCTAGCCTCTTAGTCATGCCTTGTTAAAAATGCTGTTCAGTTTCTCTCCTCTTTACTGGAGGAATTCCCTCACAAAGCTAGTATGGTCTGGTTCTGACAAATGTGCATACTTTAGTGTTATGGGCTGAATCATGTACCCCTAAAATTCAGATATTGAAGCCCTAACCCCTAGTTACTTTGAACTGTGACTGTATTTGTAGCTAAGGCTTTTAAGGAGGTTATTAAGTGCATTTTAAAATAAAGAATCTAACTCTATTGCTTGTAACTCAAAGGATAAATGATTGAGGGGATGAATACCTCATTCTCCATGATGTACTTATTTCACATTGCATGCCTGTATCAAAACATATCAGGTACTCCATAAATATATACACCTACTCTGTACCCACAAAAATTAAAAATAATAACAATTTAAATGGATAAATAAATCCGGCCTAGAGTGGACTCTAATCCAGTCTGCTTGGAGTTCTTATAAGAAGAGGAAACTTGTGCATAAAAGAGTTACCAAGCATGAACTCGCACAGAGGAAAGAGCATGTGAGGACATAGGGGAAAACACAGTCATCTGCAAACCATAGAGGAAAGCCTAAGGAGAAACTAAACCTGCCAAAACCATGATCTTGGACTTCTGACCTCCAGAACTGTGAGAAACTAAATTCTTGTTGTTTAAGCCATCCTGTCTGTGGCAGCCTTAGCTAACTACTGCATTTGGAGGTAGACAGACAGACAGATAGATAGGATGAGGAAAGTGGATACCCAAGCCTTCAAAATAGTGGTTAATAAAAGGCTGACTGTAGCTTAGATTAGTCAAAATACTTTGCTAGTTTTAAGGGCAATGGGTATTACTGCATCTTGACAAAGAGGCATAAAAAATGCAAATATTGGGGCCGCTGAACATTCCAGATTGAGTCATAATTAATGTTTACACTTAAAAATGATGAGAGATTTAGGTCAAAAGACAAAAATGTGTTCAGAGCATTCATACCTCCTAATCCAAATATCTAGAATGTTCCACACTCCTCAGCCGCTCGATTCATATACAGTTGCCGTTACATTGCAGGATAATACTTACATCCACATTTGGTGGAGGTGGGAGGAGATGGAAACTACCTTTTCTTTTTTTTATTATTATACTTTAAGTTCTAGGGTACATGTGCACAACGTGCAAGTTTGTTACATATGTATACATGTGCCATGTTGGTGTGCTGCACCCATTAACTCGTCATACATTAGGTGTATCTCCTAATGCTACCCCTCCCCCCTCCACCCGCCCCACCTTTTCTGTCATTAACATAGTAGTTAACAAAGGTGTGAGCTGTTGGAAAAAGTGTATCCAAAGTTCTCACCAAAACATACACAAAACCACATTGAAATCCTTTGATAAGATTTTAAAAACATTTCTATTCAAGCTTATTTGGAAAATGTGATACACAAACCATGAGAATACTACCTAATGTACCATTTCATATTAAATGTAGACTAAACAGTTTTAAATTTATAAAATAAATATTGATATAATCTCAGCTCCAATATTGCTGTGTTGCTGTTGCTGCTGTGATAGTGCAGTACTATGTTATTATCATATTGTATAATTTAATGTCTTCTAAATGTATCTTCTTTTGTCAATATTTTGCTCATTTTATAAATTACAGTTCTGCAATGGTGAGGTAATTCATATCTTGAACATAGTGCTAAAATGATGTAGTGCTTCCATTTTTGCTCAGCAATTGATCTTTCAAATTTTTGCATTTTCTGGTATTAATCATGTTTATTGGCCTAATGTTTCTATAAAGAATTCTCAGTGTTGCAGTGGTTACTTTCATAGTTTATTAAAATACTCCCTTCCCCCACCATCTCTCTTCATTACAGTATAACAATGTCTTATTGATTTTAATTGAAACTTCAAATTTGTTAACACTAAAATATGTCAATGCACCAAACCATAAATTACCTCCCTGCTCTTAAGCACATGCTGTACAACAGCCAACATCTGGATGAAAAGAGAGAACAAGTGGTAATCATAGAAGTATTGCATGTTTTCAATGAACATAGCAGACCTCAACATGATCAAGGGAATGATTTCTGGTCCATTAAACCAGTCTATCAAATTCAACCAAATTTCCTACATACTAAGCTTTCATGCCATCTTATCTGAATGGCTTATAGCAGGACCCCAACAAGTAACTGCTAATTTCTTCCCACGTTTGATTGGAAAATCTGTGTCCATATCAGCAGGGCCAGATACCCTTCAATCTTTACATATACTGTGCTAGAATCCAGTGTTTCCTTATCTCAGCTCATCTAGTTGGAAGCTAGTCAAGACTCTCACTTTTGGATTACAGATTGACTTTGGCCACAAAAGAGCTTGAAAGAATACTGAAGAGGAGGACTGGAGTAAGGTTCTTCCTCTTCAGGACTGGAGTAAAAGTGGATGAGCGGACAGGAAGCTTAAACAATCCTTTCAGAGATTCTTAGCATGTAATTTGCTTGAATAAATGTTAAATCTTGAGGAGGAATGCCAATTGGGCCTGAAGACATTTCCCTGAAAAGTTTACAACTCTCAAAACTGCTTTTGCAAATGTGGTTTTTGAAATAAAAGTATAAAAATGTTTGTCCCCTTTGACTCAAATTCCACTCAGGGAATTAATTGATTCTAAGGAAATAATTTAAATGAATGTTTTTGTTATAATGTAGACTATAATAGTGACAATTGGAAGCAATGTCCAGTGTTTGATAGTCATTACACTTTGTAGATATGAAGCAACATGACAGACTGCTTATAATGTAAAAATGGGTATCCATATGAACAAAGTGTGGGAGGGAACTCAAAGAAGTGAAAATAAACACAATTTTCAATGTTGCGGATATGAGTATGTTGATTTTTCTACATTAAAAAAAACATTAAATATACGTATTTTACAGAGCTCCCAAGAGTCCCAAGCCTAAACCCCACACACAGTGTCAGAGTTTTAGGCAGTAAGTGGGATGGTGTCAGCCAGGTAGAGTGCTAATGTTGCAGTCCCAGCATGGGAATGGAGGCAGAACCACTGACCCCTGAATGAATGAAGCACATCAAGCAAATAGATGAAGCTGCCTGCACAACCATTTTGTTTTCTAAAGCCAGACTATGTGCTCCTGCAGTGATTGGAATCCCACCCTTTACTCCCCTGTTTAAAGTATTCTCTTGAAAGAATGCCCTGGAAATTATTCTGTGTTTGTTTTCCATATGGTTTTAAGCAATGGTTCTATCCCCCATAGTATGCTAGATACCAGATAAAATAGCTATGCCAATGTAGATCATGATAATATAGTATTCTGCATTTATACACACTTTACCTCACTCTCTAGCATGAAGGATCAAGGTAAGTATAATTTCAAACTGGAAGCAATGGTTTCCTATTTTTGTCCAGCTTATTTTACACAAAACTCTAGTGTGTATGAATAGATTTGCTTCTCTGAGTGACCTGAGAAGAAAAGATCATTTTGTTTCTTACCATGTATTTTTGCATGTTATCATGCTCTTACAAATGAGTGTGTTCTTTTTCAGTGATCAGTACAGTCCTTTAAAATATAGTATATGTATGTTAAAGGTTTAGAATACAAGGCAGTGGTGGTCAATTAATGTTCCTCAACATGTAAGTGCTTCTAAAAGCTATTCATTATGATTCCAGATTTGTTGAGACTACCAACAAGTCAAGAGTGCCTATACTATTATTGAGAATGATTTGGCCTTCCCAGAGGCAGCTTACATCTCTAGACTATTGAAAGTTTTTGAAACTGTCATAAAAATGAGTTAACTGTGTTCAATAATAATTTCCTAAGAGGTAGTATTCATGATTACAGCCCTAAAAGGGAATTTTAAAAAGCCTTCTTATGAAAGTTGTCAAGTTGAAATATGTTTATATGAATATTTTTCAGGTGGAAGTGAATCCTCCTGGGATAAAGATAAGATGCAGTCTCCATTTGCTGCACCTGGACCCCAACATGGAATTGCTCATGCAGCCCTAGCTGGCCAGCCAGGCATTGGGGGTGCTCCAACCCTCAATCCACTGCAGCAGAACCACCTGCTAACCAATAGTATGTATACTGTCCTCACAAAACTGGGTGTGTTGAACAAAATACTATCCAAGACCTACTAGAAACCTTTGGCTGGCAGGGCTTAGTCTATTTTTCTTCAATAAAGTTTAACAATTTAATATCAGAAGGGGAGGTAAAGAAGGACTCACTTTCCCTCTTTACCTCCCCTTCTGATATTAAATGGTTAAATCTTAAATACATATAAGGGTACATGGGAGGTACGTGGAAAGTAGAGGTACATAAGTAGAGGTACATGGGAGGTTATGTAGCACAGTAGTTAAGAATATTGGCTAAAGTCACACAAACTTGTGTTTGAATTCCACATGTTTTGAATTCTTTTTTTTTTTTTAAATGGAGTTTTGCTCTTGTTGCCCAGGCTGGAGTGCAATGGCGTGATCGCGGCTCATTGCAACCTCCGCCTCCTGGTTCAAGCAATTCTCCTGCCTCAGCCTCCCAAGTAGCTGGGATTACAGGCATCTGCCACCACGTCCAGCTAAATTTTTTTGTATTTTTAATAAAGACGGGGTTTCACCATGCTGGCCAGGCTGGTCTTGAACTCCTAACCTCAGGTGATCCACTCGCCTAGGCCTCCCAAAGTGCTGGGATTACAGGTGTGAGCCACCACACCCGGCCACATGTTTTGAATTCTACATCATTGTTAGACGTTGGAGAAGTCACCTAACCTTTCCAAGTCTTAATATCCACAACTATAGACTGTGGATAAAAATACATCCACTTAAGGTTACCGTGAGATCTCAGGATAATAAAATAAAATATGTTAACAGTGAATTGCATATAGTAAGTACTATATATATCACAAGTAGTATTATTACTTAGCAATCACACTATAGCTAATGTATACAAATTCAGGTTTACATGATGTTTTAGGGACTTCAAAGACTCACAAGTCTTTCTGCAGCAAAGCAGATCTTGTGTATATTACTTTTGTATATATCTTACTTTTCTTACAAATGGATAATCCAGGATAGGGTTTCATTACTCTCTTCCCTGACACTTTTATTCTCCCATTCTACCTTAGGATGAAGGCAACAGAGGAATTCTAAGACATTTTAATATGATGTTCCAAATCTTAGTGAAATTGGTCAGTTATTAAGCATACAAAAATAAGTTATGGTGTGATACTTTAAAGTGGTTATAATCTCAAGCATAAAATGTCCCATACAAAATGAAATGTTAAGCAAAAGCAAATGAAAGGAATGCCAGAAAAGTTATAAATATTATGTTATGAAAAGTTAAAAAAGGACTGATTAAAGTAGATTCAGGTTATAAAGAGGGTAATTTAGAAGACTTTGGCCTCTAGTCTGACATGTAAAGAGCTTGGAAGTCATTACTCCCATCCTTGCAACTAGAAAAAAGATAAACAAACTGAAAATCTAACTTATTAAAGCCATCAGAGTTTGAGGTCACAGAGCTCCACCATGCTGGAAACTAGAGAGAAAGGCAGCACAGCTCATAAGGAGAAGAAGCCACAGCTAGATCCTGGTAGAAGCATTTAAAAGATAATTGAGTAATTGCAGGAGACTCACTGTAGATCTAGCTCGAGAGACAAAAACTCATGGGGGCCCTGTCTTATGGGGCCCCTACACTTTCATGAGTTTTATTTCTAGGAGCCATACCAGATTCTCAGGGTGAAGATATGATAAAATTCCCCTCATGTTTCTAGTAAGGGGAAAGGAAAAGTAACAACTTTGAAACATGCTCATAGTGCTCTGTTCTCCTGAAGGCCTGTCCTCAAAGAAAACTGTTTTACCAGAGGGTAAACTACTTGGTTTTGCTAGAGCCTAACTGACCTGGGGAAAGGGATATACTAACCTCCAACACCCTCTAACTTTTATGTGAGGGGAAAAGAACAGTACAATTCCAGCAGCCTTAAGCCTCCTGTCTCACCTAAGGACTTATGGGAGCTAAAAATCACTTGTGAAAGTCACAGCCCAAGGATACAGGCTCACTAAGGGACTAAGACCTAATCATAAGATTATAGAATGTTTGTTTGCTCACATTTAACTATCGCCACAGTAGTGCTCCTGTATAACAAAGGGGGATTACAGCTTAAAGAGCTGGAATTTTCAGACCCTATTTATGACAGGTTCTCTAGGGAGAAGCAAAAACAAGGAGGAGAGAAACAAGACTAGAGGAAAATGTAGACACTAATGCCACAGGTCGAGCAACCATTTATGATAGCCTAACTCCCAGCCAGATCAGCATAAAACCTATCACCAAAGGCCTATTTACTTCAGTCTCTCCTATTACATCATTTCTGGCTTTAAACGAAAAAAAATGCAAACATAAACAAAATCAAGTAACACAATCTGAAGAGACAGAGCAAACAACAGAACCAAATTCAGACATAGCTGATATTTTAGAATTATCAGACTGAGAACTTAAAAAAACAACTAATATACTAAGAGAATGGAAAAAATGAACATCATGAAGAACACGTGAGATAGCTAATCAGAAAGGTAGAAACCCTAAGAAAAAATCAAAAGAAAATGCTAGGGATAAAAAAAAAAGAACTCCAACAAAATGAAGAGTATCTTATATGAAATCATCAATAGAATACACAGAGCCAAGGAAAGAATCAGTAAGCTTGAAGATGTTTCAACACATACTTCCCAAGCTGAAAAAAGAGAAACGTTGACTGAAATAAAATAACAGAATAGACTAAGAACTGTGTGACAAAGAGAAGAAAAAGATGAAAGAACAGAAGACATATTTGAAATAACAATGACTGAGAGTTTTCCAAAATTAATGAGAAACACCAAACCACAAATTGTTCAGCAAACACTAAGTAGGATAAATACCAAAATCTACAAATACCCATATCATATTCCAACTGCAGAAAACCAATCACAAAAAGAAAATCTGGAAAGAAGACAGAGAAAAAAATTTATTTTCATACAGAAACAAAGATAATAATTACACTGGATTTCTCTTTAGAAACCAGGCAAACAGGAAGAGAGTAGAATGAAATATTTAGAGTGTTGAAAAAGAAAACACCATAAATGTATACCCCTACTATCTAACCACAAGAATTAAAAATATGTATATTTAAAACCCCACAAACCTAGAATTCTGTCTCCAGGAAAATTTCCCTTTAAAAGTGAAGGAGAAATAAAAACTTTCTCAAACAAAAATTGAGGTAATTTGTTACCATACCAGTAGACCTGCATCGCAAGAAACATTGAAACATCTTCAGAAAAAAAGAAAATTGTATACTTTGGAAAGTTTGATTTATGTAACGAAAGGAAGAGCACTAGAGGAGGAATAAATTTAGATAAATTAATTTTTTTAATTTCTTCTTTTTGTTTTGTTAGTTTTGTGTTTTTTTTTTTTTTTTTTTTTTTTTTTACAGGGTCTCACTCTGTCACCCAGGCTGGAGTGTAGTGGTGTGATCATGGCTCACTGCAGCCTTGACCTCCCAGGCTCAGGTGAGCCTCTCAACTAACCCCCTCCATCCCCCAGTAGCTGGGACTACAAGCATGTGCCACCACTCCTAGCTAATCTTTGTATTTTTTAGTAGAAACAGGGTTTTGCCATGCTGCCTAGGCTGGTCTTGAATTCCTGGTCTCAAGAGACCTGCCTGTCTTGGCCTCCCAGAGTGCTGGGAATACAGGCATGAGCCACCGTGCCCAGCCAATTTATAAAAATTCTTAATCTAACACATAATGGTCTGTTCAAACAATAAAAACAACATAAGCAGGAGTAGCAATTCTTATATCAGATAAAACAGACTGTAAAGCAAAAGCAGTGAAGAAAAGACAAAGAAGGTCATTATATTAATATATTGATAAAAGGATACATCCAACAAGAAGATATTACATTCCTAAATATACCTGCACCTAACTCTGAAGCTCCCAGATTCATAAAACAGTTACTACTAGACCTAGGAAAAGAGGTAGACAGCAGCACAATCATAGTGAGCGTCTTCAACACTCCAATGACAGAACTAGACAGAGCATCAAAGCAGAAAGTGAACAAGGACTTAAACTGAACTCTAGAACAAACGGACCTAAAAGTATTTACAGAACATTTTACCCAATAAATGCAGAATTTACATTCTTCTCGTCAGCACATGGCACATTTTCTAAGATAGACCATGGATTAGTCCATTTTCACACTGCTAGTAAAGACATACCCAAGGCTGGGCAATTTACAAAAGAAAGAGATTTACTGGACTTACACTTCCACATGGTTAAAGAGACCTCACAATCATGGTGGAAGGCGAAAGGCTCTTCTTACATGGCGGTGGCAAGAGAGAGAATGAGAACCAAGTGAAGGGGCTTATCCTTATAAAACCATCAGATCTCGTGAGACTTATTCGCCACCATGAGAACAGTATGGGAGAAACCACTCCCATGATTCAATTATCTCCCACTGGGTCCCTCCCAAAACATATGGGAATTATGGGAATACAATTCAATATGCGATTTGGATGGGGAAACAGAGCCAAACCATATCAGCCCATATGATAGGCCAAAAAACATGTACAATTTATTTTATTTCAGTTCAGCTCAGATTTTGATTATTTTTGTCTTCTGACATGTTTGGGGTTGGTTTGCTCATGCTTCTCCAGTTTCTCTAGTTGTGAGATTAGGTTGTTAATTTGAGATCTTCCAAACTATTTTATGTAGGCATATAATGCTATAAACTTCAATACTAACACTGACTTAGCTGTGTCCCAAAGATTTTCATATGTACTATCTTTGGTCTCATTAGTCTCAAATAATTTCTTGATTTCTGCCTTAATTTTATTATTTACCCAAAAGTCATTTGGGAGCAGGTTGTTTAATTTCCATGTAATTATATGATTGAATTTTTTAGTATTGATTTCTGTTTTTACTATCGTGCTGTCCAAGTGTGGCTGGTATAATTTCACTTTTTTCAATTTGCTGAAGATTGTTTTATGTTTGATTATGTGGTCAATTTTAGTATGATTTCTTTTTTTTCTCAATTTTCTGAGATTTTTTTATATTTGATTAGGTGGTCAATTTTAAAGCATGTGCATGTGCAGACGGGAAGAATGTGTATTCTGTTGTCTTTGGTTGGAGAGTTCTGTAAATGTGTATTAGGCCCATTTGGTCAAGTGTGAGTTCAGGTCTTGAATATCTTTGTTAATTTTATGTTTTGATGATTTGTCCAATACTGTCAGTATAATGTTGAAGTCTCTCACTATTATTGTGTATAAATCCAAGTTTCATCATAGTTCTCTAAGAACTTGCTTTATGAATCTGGGTGCTCCTCTGTTGGGTGCATATTTATTTAGGATAGTTAGGTCTTCTTGGTGAATTAAACCCTTTATTATTATGTAATGCTCTTTTTTATCTAACCCCAGTTAAAAAAAAAAAGGAATCCATGATTTTGTTCTTTGAAAAAAATAATAAGATAACATAAACCACTAACTAGACTAACAAAGATACAAAAGAGAGAAAATCCAAATAAACACAATTACAAATGACAAAGGGGACATTACCACTAACCCACAGAAATACAAAAAAAATCCTCAGAGACTTACTATAAATACCTCTGTGCACACAAACTGGAAAATTTAGAAGAAATTGATATATTCCTGAAAATATACAACCACCCAAGACTGAACAAAAAAGAAATGGGATATCTGAACAGACCAATAATGAGTTCCAAAATTGAAGCAGTAATAAAAAGTCTACCAAACAAGAAAAGCCAGGGACTAAATGGATTCACAGCTGAATTATATTAGATGCACAAAGAAGGGCTGGTACCATTTATACAGAAAATGTTCCAAAAAATTGAGGAGGAGGGACCTTTCTAACTTGTTCTGTGAGGTCAGGATCATCCTGATACCAAATCCTTGCAGATGCACACCAAAACCAGTAAAAGGTAAAAAGAAAAGTTCAGGACAATATCCTTGATGAACACAGTTGGAAAAATCTTCAAGAAAATACTAGCAAACCAAATTGAGCAACACGTAGAAAGCTAATCCACCATGATCAAGTATGCTTTATCCCTGGCATCCAAGACTGTTTCAATATATGCAAATAAATACATGTGATTCATCATATAAAGAGAAGTAAAAACAAAAACCACATGGTTATCTCAATAGATGCACAAAAGGCTTTTGGTAAAATTGAAGATCCCTTCATGTTAAAAACCCTCAGTAAACTAGGCATTGAAGGAGCTACCGCAAAATAATAAGAGCCATCTCTGACAAACCCACAGCCAACATCACACTGAACTGGCAAAAGCTGGAAACATTCCCTTTGAAAACCAGCACAAGGCAAGGATGCCTTATCTCACCACTCTTATTCAACATAGTACTGGAAGTCCTGGCCAGAGCAATCAGGCAGGGGGAAGAAATCAAAGGCATCCAAAAAGTAAGAGAGGATGTCAAACTATCCCTAATTGCAGATGACATAATTCTACATCATGAAATTAACCCAAATGCCCGTCAACAGTAGACTAGATAAAGGAAGTGTTGTACATATACACCATGGAATACTACACAGCCATAAAACAGAATTAGATCCTGTTCTCTGCAACAGCATGGATGGAGCTGGAGGCCATTACCCTAAGAAACTAATGCACGAACAGAAAACCAAATACAACTTATTCTCACTCAAAAGTGGGAGCTAAACCATGAACACACATGGATACAAAGAGGAAAACAACAGACACTTGGGCCTACTGGAGGGTGGAGGGTACAAGGAGGGAGATGATCAGAAAAAATACCTATTGGGTACTATGCTTATTACTTGTATGAGGAAATAGTCTATACACCAAACCCACATGACACACAGTTTACCTATATAACAAATCTACACATATACACCTGAACCTAAAATAAAAGTTAAAAAAGTCTCAATAAGTTTTTTAAAAATCAAAATTATATGAAATATCTTATCAGGCCACAGTGGAATAAAACTAGAAATCAACTGCCAAAGGAACCCTCAACGCTATAGAAGAACATGGAAATTAAACAATCTGCTCTTGAAAGATTTTTGGTTTGACAATAAAATCAAGATGGAAATTTTAAAAATATTCAAAATGAATGATAATGGTGACACAAGTTATTAAAACAGCTGGGATATAGAAAGAAAAATAGTGTCAAGAGGAAGGTTTATGGTGCTAGATGCCTACATTGAAAAGTCTGAAAGGTCACAAATTAACAACCTAACATCACACCTCAAGGAACTAGAGCAACTAGCCCAAACCAAGCCCAAAGCTAGCAGGGGAAAAGAAATAACAAGGATTAGAGCAGAACTAAATAAAATTGAAACAAAATCTATGAAAAAGATCAGTTAAAGAAAAAGTTGGTTCTGTGAAAAGATAAACAAAATCTATAGAACATTAGGTAGATTAATCAAGAAAAGAAGAGAGATGATTCAAATAAGCTCAATTAGAAATAAAAATGGAGCTATTACAACCAACACCACAGAAATTCAAAAGATTATTTGAGACTACTATGACCACCTCTATGCACACAAACTAGAAAACCTAGAGGAAATGAATGAATTCCTGGAAACATACAACCCTCCTAGCTTGAATCAGGAAGAACTAGAAATCCTAAACAGACCAATAACAGGCAATGAGATTGAATCACTAATTTAAAAATTGCCAGTCAAACAAAAGCCCAGGGCTAGATGGATTGAAAGCCAAATTCACTGGACCTTCAAAGAAGTGGTACCAATCCTACTGAAACTTTTCCAAAATATTGAGAATGAATCCCCTCCAACTCATTCTATGAAGCCAGTATCACCTTGTTACCCAAGCAAGAAAGGCACATAACCAAAAAAAGATAACTACAGACCAATATCCCTGATGAACCTAAATGAAAAAATCCTCAATAAATTACAAGAAAACCAAATCCAACAACACATCAAAAAGATAATACACCATGATCAAGTGGGTTTCATCCCAGTGATACAGTGATGGGTCAATGTACTCAAGTCCAGAAACGTGATTCACCACCTAAACATCATTTAAAACCTAAAGCATATGATCATCTCAATAAATGCAGAAAAAAATTCAATGAAATCAAGCATTCCTTTATTATAAAAACCCTCAACAAATTAGACATTGAAGAAACATAATTTAAAATTATAAAAGCCATATATGACAAACCAACAGCCAGCATCATACTGGAAGGTCATACACTGGTGGCATTTTCCCCATAAGAACTGGAACGAGAGAAGGTTGCCCATTTTTACCACTCCTATACAACATAGTATTGGAAGTCCTAGCCAGAACAATCAGGCAAGAGAAAGAAAGAAAAGACATACAAATAGGAAAAGAGGACGTTAAAATATCTCTCTTCACTAACAATATGATTGTATACGTAGAAAACCCTATAGACTCTATCAAAGGATTTCAAGACATGTTAAATGACTTCAGTAATGTTTCAGGATACAAAATCAACATACAAAAAAATTGTAGCATTTCTATACACCCATAAGATTCAAGCTGAGAGCCAAATCAAGAATGCAATCCCATTTAGGATAGTCATAAAAATGTAAAATATCTAGGAATACATCTAAACAATGAGTCGAAAGATCTCTACCTAGGAATACATCTAACCAATGAGTCGAAAGATCTCTACAAGGAGAACTACAAAACACTCCTGAAAGAAATAATAGATGACACAAACAAATGGAAAAACATTCCATGCTCATGGATTGGAAGAATCAATATTGTCAAAATGGCCATACCGCCCAAAGCCATCTACAGACTTATTACAATTTCTATCAAACTACCAATGCCATTATTAACAAAAAAACTATCATAAAATTCATATGGAAGAAAAAAATTGGCCTGAATAGCCAAAGCATTCCTAAACAAAATGAACAAAGCTGGAGAGCCATCACATTGCTGGATTTCTAATTATGCTACAAGGATATAGTAACCAAAACCAAAACAGCATGGTACTTATATGAATATAGACATATAGACCAATGAAACAGAATAGAGAACCCAGAAATAAAGCTAATTTTTGACAAAGCATCCAAAAGCATAAATTGGGGGAAAGGGAACCCTATTCAACAAATGGTGCTTGGAAAATTGGATAACCATGTGTAGAAGAATGAAACTAGATCCTTGTCTTTCACCATATACAAAAATAAACTTGAGATGGATTAAAGACTTAAATCTAAGACCTCGATTAATAAAAATTCTAGAAGAAAACATAGAAAAATCTCTTATAAACATTGACCTAAACAAAGAGCTTGTGATTAAGACCGAAAAAGCAAATGTAATAAAAATAAATAAATAAATGGGGCCTAATTAAACCAAAAAAAACCTTCTGCACAGCAAAAGTAATAATCTTCAGAGTAAACAGCCAACTCACAGAATGGCAGAAAATGTTTGCAAACTCTGCATCTAACAAAGGACTAATATCCAGATTCTACAAAGAACTCAAACAAATCAGCAAGGCAAAAACAATACCATCAAAAATGTGGGCAAGTGACATTAGTAGACACTTATCAAAAGAAGATATACAGGAAATGCAAATCAAAATCACAGTGCAATACCACCTTACTCCTGCAAGAATGGCCATAGTCAATAAATCAAAACATAATAGATATTGGTGTGGATGCAGTGAAAAGGGAACACTTCTACACTGCTGGTGGGAATGTAAACTAGTGCAACCAGTATGGAAAACAATGTGGAGATTCCTTAAAGAACTAAAAGTAGAACCACCATTTGATCTAGCAATCCCACTACTGGGTATGTACCCAGAGGAAAAGAAGTCATTATACAAAAAAGATAAATGCACATTTATAGCAGCACAATTCAC